>NC_000004.12:115133502-115285017 GCF_000001405.40 Homo sapiens | reverse complement strand
AAAAATGTTATGTGATAGATAATAAGTGGAATGAAAAGCAAAAAGGCAACAGAAGGGATGAAGATGGAGAATAAGGAGAGCTTTTCTGTTTTTGGTTTTTAACAAAGACTTAAATTGGGATGTTTATCAAAGGCCTCACTGAAAGGGCCATGTGACCTGAAGGAAGAAAGGGAGAGAGATATGTCTAGGTGACATATAGTTAAAGACATATCTACTCACATGTCAGTCCATTCAGATTGCTATATCAAAGTTTCATAAACTGGGTTGCTTATAACTATAAATATGTATTTCTCACAATTCTGGAGGCTGGGATGTCCAAGATCAAGCACCAGCACCAAATTATTCTGTGTCTTGGGAGGGCCCACGTCCTCATAGACAGCATTGTCTTCTCATGGCAAAAGAGATGAGCTAACTCCCAGGGATCTTTTTTAAGGACACAAATTCCAGCCATGAGTGCTCTGACTCCAAAAGGCCTCATTTCCAAATACCATTACCTTGGGGATCAAGATTTCAACATATAAATGTTAGAGGGTGAAAAACATTCAGAGCCTAGCATCACTTATCTAGGCAAATGGGGTTGCTGCCAGTTATTGCATTTTCAAATAACACAGTAAGGATCTGTTGAAAAATTACCCAGGATAACAGGAGTTTAAATGTAACATAAATGATACCTTTCTCCAGTCCACTACCCAGTCCAACTTCTCAGGGAGAAGGTGGCAAGAATTCTTGTCTTGTATGGGATAGGAAAGAGCAAGTGGGGTATGAGATGAAGTAGACAAAAGGAAAGAATAGGGATGGTGAAGAATTAATCACAGGAACAAGAATTTTCCTCAGCAATTTAATCCAAAGTAAAAAGCACAACCAGTTGTCCCAAAGCATACCAGGATCAGGAAAGATTTAGCAGACAGAACATGTGGCTATAACAAGCTACTTAGACTTAAACCCATTGTTCAAAATTAGCTGTTTATTAGACTTTTTAATAAGAGAGAATACAACCTGACAGACTTTTAGTAGTTTTGGAGGAGAAGGTTAAGAGGGTATTTAAGGTTTTGAAATCTGGACTCAGGTGGTTTAGTAATCTTCAAATAGTAAATAACAACAAAAAATCTTAGATGGGGTTTTTAAAACTTCCATCATAGTATCTTTTGATTTTCAAAATATTTATAGTTTTTCTTAACAGTTCTTTCACATTGTGACAAGACAAATAATATCAAAGGCACTTGATTTAAAAAGAAGGCTGGTCTCATGTTTTCATCTGAATCTTTATATAGACACAGCTAAAAGTTCTACCCATGTAAGCCTCTTTATGCACAAATAATTGAGTAGAGTATGGCCATATAATTAATTTCTATCTGGAGCTTTCAATAATACCAAATTTGACTTTTTTAAAGCCTCTATTATTTCATTTGGCAGTACCTGAGTTTGGTGAATTTTTGTCTTCTGAAGGTTTCCAGAATATACTGAAGTTTTTAGCTTTACAGAAAGTAAGATCAAGTTCCTTTAGGAATAAGTTAGGTGACAGTCCAGTTTCATGGAAATTTTAATTTTTTTAAACATTGTCTTTGCATGTAAAATGCAGCCCTGACTATTTAATGTTGTTATAACTTCTGATTCAATCAGATTTACTATCAAATATAATATTTGGTATATACTAGTGATATAATTGATCATAGTTAAATGGAGGAGAAGGAAGATAGAACAGTCATATTGAATGCATGCAGACAACTACATTGCCAAAAAAGTTAAGAAAAGTAAGTAAAATATTTGTTTTTGAAATCTGAAATGTTGGTAAGATAAGAAACCTAAAACACTCATGTTCATTGAACAAAGTGGCTCACCAGCAATGGAATAATAGGCTCAATGGTTCCAGAGCAGCTATTCCTGTAGCCAGTTGTTCTATCAATAATGTTTTATTTTGTTTTTTCACTCTCCTTCTAGGGCCAAATCACTTTTAGGCATGGGAAGGGGCAAAATGTTAGAAGGAAAATTTCAACATGATTGACTCAACTGTGCAAGAAAACCAGAAAGTTAACTTAATGATTAACTTCCCATTGAAGTTGGAGTTGCACTTGAATATTTCTTTTAGCTGCTTGCAGGTATGTAGCTTTGTAAAAGATTGGATTTGTAACCAGCTGTGAGTTTTCAAGACAAGGTTAGGGCTAAATGAATTAGCAAATACCTTTGGCCAGACAAGTTAATGTATGGGAAGTCTGCAGCATGTTTAATACATTGTTTTTCTCCATTACATTTTGCTTGTTTCATTGTACCTGACTTGTTTTCTTTGGGGAAAAAAATTTAAAGTACTCCTGAATTAGATGTAACAGACCAGTAGAATTTTTGATGGTACTGACAAAGATACACCTTACAAGCCTCAAATCTAAACATGACATAAGCCCCATGATTTTTTTTCTAGTGATTTTTTAAAAATTATACTTTAAGTTCTAGGGTACATGTGCACAAGGTGCAGGTTTGTTACATATGTATACATGTGCCATGTAGGTGTGCTGCACCCATTAACTCATCATTTACATTAGGTATATCTCCTAATGCTATCCCTCCCGCCTCCCTCCACCCCACGAGAGGCCCCAGTGTGTGATGTTCCCCACCCTGTGTCCAAGTGTTCTCATTGTTCAATTCCCACCTATGAGTGAGAACATGCGGTGTTTGGTTTTCTATCCTTGCGATAGTTTGCTCAGAATGATGGTCTCCAGCTTCATCCATGTCCCTACAAAGGACATGAACTCATAATTTTAAATGATTTCCATGCTATTCCAATACTTTATGTAATATCAATTACAAATGTTTATGGTCATTTTTATGTAACTATGCAAAATATGTTTAGTAGCCATGTGTAGTAAAGCGTAGTCATTGGTTTTCCAAACTTCTGATAACCTATGTCCAAAGTTAATATTTCATTCCTCTCCCTATCCATTTATTTGGACTACATAAAATGGCAGAATTTTAAAACTGCTATTACCTTATAAATTATAAAACCCAGTGTATATCTTCTACATATGGGGGAATAAGACCCAAGAGTTTGACTCACTCAAGGGCCTACACGTAGTGTGTAGGAACATTAGCCTGTAATTCCAGACCTTTAATCTTTTGTTACTACATCATATTAATATAATGTATCATGCTAATGTAATGGAAAGATCAAATTTTAAAAATGTGTCCAGGTACATTCACACAGAGTATTTTTTAATCATATAATTTGAATTTTTTAACAGCTTTATTAAAGTATAATTGAGATACAAAACATTTAATGTATATACATTTAATATATACAATTTGATGAGTTTGGCCACATGCATTCACCCATGAAACCATCACCACAATCACAGTAGTAGACATATCCATCACCTCCAGTAGATTTCTTGAGTTCTTGTTTTTTTGTGGTAAGAATACTTAAAATGAGATTTAACATCTTAACAAAATTTTAAGTACACAATACAATATTTTTAACTATACGTGCCATGTTATATAGTAGTTCTCTAAAACTTAATGATCTTAAACTGAAACTTTATATCCATTGAGAAAAACTTATTGTCCTCTCCCACCACTCTTAACAACCACCACTCTACTTTCTGCTTCTGTAAGTTTGAATATTTTATATATCTCATGCCAGAGGAATTATGCAGTATTGTATCCAGCTTGTTTCACTTAGAATAATGTCCTTCAGCTTCATCCATGTAGCAAGTGGCAGGATTTTTTTCATTTCTAAGGCTGAATAATAGTTCATCGTATGTGCACACCACGTTTTCTTTATCCGTTCATCTGTTAATGGACATTTGGGCTGTTTCCATAACTTCATTATTATAAATAACCCTGTAATGAACATGGGAGTGCAAATACCTCTTTGAGGTCCTTAGTTCAATTCTTTTGAGTACATAACTCAAAATGAGATTGCTGGATCATATAATATTTCTATTTTTTATTTTTTGAGGAACCTCCATACTAGTTTCAATAGTCACCAACAATGGTCCAAGGGTTTCAATTTCTCCACATCCTCTCTGACACTTGTTAACTCATGGGTTTTATTTTGATAGGGACATCCTTACAGGAGTGAATTGATATCTTGTGGTTTTGATTTGCATTTTCCTGATTATTAGAGATGTTGAGGTGTTGAGCACCTCTTTGTATTCTTGCTAATAATTTGTATGTCTTCTTTAAATAAATACTCAATTCTTTTGTCCATTTTAATTGTTTTACTTGTTTTATGCTATTGAGATTTAAAATGACTTATGCATTTTGGATATTAATCCCTTATCCGCTATATGGTTAGCTAATATTTTCTCTCATTCTGAATATTGCCTTTTTACACTGATGATTGTTTTCTTTACTATGAAGAAGATTTTTAGTTTTGTATAGTTCAGTATGTCTAATTTTGCTTTTTTGCTTGTACTTTTGCTGCCATATTCAATAAATTATTTCCAAGTACAGAGTCATAAAGCTTTTTTTCTGTTTTCTTCCATGATTTTTCTAATTTCTGGTCTTACATTTAAATTTTTAATCCACTTTGAGTTGATTTTTGTGAATGGTTAAGATAAGGATCCAATTCCATTCTTTAAGATGCAGATATACAGTTTTCTCCACACTATTAGTTGAGCATACTGTGTTTTGCTTATTTCGTATTCTTGACACTCGTAAAAATCAGTTGACCATATATGTATGAATTTATTTCACAACCTCTATTGTGTTTCATATATATATAAAACAGGTATATATCTCTGTTTTATGTCAGTACAATACTATATTAATTGTTATAGTTTTCTAATAGATTTTAAAGTCAGGAAGTCTGATGTCCCACCTTTGTTCTCCTAGTTCAAGATTACTTTGGCTATTCCAGGTCTTTTGTGTGTCCATATGAATTTCAGAAAAATTTTTGATTTCTGTAAAAAATGCCATTGGGAGTTTGATAAGTGTTGCATTAAATCTGTAGATTGGTTTGAGTAGTATGAGCATTTTAACAATATTAAGTGTTCCAACCATGAACATAGGATATATTTCATCTATTTTTAAAGTTATATTTAATTTTTTGTATTATAGTTTTCGGGGTACAAATCTTTCACCTTCTTGGTGAAGTTTATCATTAGGTATTTTATTTTTTTGTCCTATCATAAATTAGATTATTTGTCTATTCTTATTTTGAGATATCTCATTTTTAGTGTAAAAAACACAACTGATTTTTTAATGTTGATTTTGTATTCTGCCACTTTACTGAATTTGTTTATTAGTTCTAACAGTTTTTTTAATTGAGTCTTTAGGATTTTCTATATATAAGTTCATGTCGTTAGCAGAGGTAACTTTACTTCTTCTTTTCCAGTTTGGGTGTCTTTTACTTGTTTTCCTGCCTAATTACTCTGGGTAGAAGTTATACTTCCTTGTTGAGTAGAAATGGGGAACGTTGACATGCTTGCCTTATTCCTGTTCTTAAAAAAAGCTTTCAACTTTTTGTTATGAAGTGTGATGTTAGCTGTAGGCCTGTCATATACAGCCTTCACTATGTTGAGGTAAATTCTTTCTATGCAGTCATGTGTCACTTAACCACAGGGATATGTTCTGACAAATGCCTCCTTAGGCATTCATCATTGTGCAAACATCATAGAATGCACTTACACAAACCTAGTTAATATAGCCTAATACAAAACTGGGTTATATGATATAGTCTACTGTCCCTAGGCTACAAATCTGTACAGCATATTACTCTACTGAATACTGTAGCAATCATAACACCATAGTAAGCATTCATATATCTAAACATATTTAGACACAGAAGAAGTACAGTGAAAATATGGTATTATAAACTTATGGGACCACTATCATATAGGCAGTCTATTGACTGAAACTTCATTTTATGACAGCATGTCTGTACCTAGTTTTTTGAGTTGAGAGTATCTGTTTTGTTTTGTTTTATTACAAAAGAATGTCGAATGTTCTCCAATGTTTTGAGATGATCACATGATCTTTTATTCTGTGAATGTGATGTATCACATGAATTGGCTTGCATATGTTGAATCATCTTTGCATCCCATAGATCAAGCCCACTTGGTTACAGTATATGATCTCTTTAAGGTGCTGCTAAACTCAGTTTGCTCATATTTTTTCAAGATTTTTGTATTTATGTTAATCAAGAATGTTGGCCTCTAGGTTTTTTTTTATATATTTTTTTTTAACTGTTCTAGAGTGTTTTTCTATCTTTGGTATAGTGTAATGCTGACCTATAAAATTAGTTTGGAAATGTGCCCTTTTTATAATTTTTTAGGAGTGTTAAGAAGGATTGGTGTTAATTCTTTAAAGGTTTAATCAAATTCTCCAGTGAGGCCATCTGCTCCTGGGCTTTTCATTGTTGGAAAATGTTGGATTCTTGATTCAGTCTCTGTATTCATTATTGATCTGTTCAAGTTTTCTATTTCTTCATGATTTGGTTTTGGCAGGTTGTATGTTTCCAGGAGTTTATCCAACCTTCTAGGTTATCCAATTTGTTAGCATATAATTGTTAATAATAATATGTCTAATATACATCATATTGTTCATATTATATGTAATATATATTAAAATTATGAACAATTATAACCTTTTGATGATTTTTCTTATTACTGGTATCAGTTACAATATCTCTTCTTTCATATCTGATATTTCTGCCTTCTGTCCTTTTTCCTTAGTAAAGCTGGCTAAGGTTTTGTCAATTATTTTATCTTTTCCAAAAAACCTACTCTGAGATTCATTTATTTTTTTATTTTCTACTTGGTTTATTTTTGCTCTAAACTTTGTTATTTTATTTCTACTGCTAATTACAGTTTATTTGTTCTTTCTCTATTTTATGAGGTATAAAGTTAGGTTGTTTATTTGAGACTTTCTCTTTACTGTGGCTTTTGCTGCATCCCTTAGGTTCCAGAATATTGTGTTTTTTATTTTTATTTGTCTTGAGTTTTTTTTTTTCAACTTTTCTTTTGATGTCTTTTTTGATTCATGGTTGTCCAAGAGTGTGTTGTTCGATATCTACTTATTTGTAAATTTTCCTGTGTTTCTTATGTTAGTCATTTCTATTTTTATTTTATTATGGTCAGAAAATATATGTAGTGTAGTTTCAGTCTTCTTAAATTTTTTGTGACATTTTTGTGAACTAAAATGTGACCTATCCTCATGAAATATTCATGAATTTGAGAAGAATGTGTATTTTACTGCTATTTGGATGAAATCTTCTGTATATAGGTCTATTAGGTCCATTGGTCTATAGTTTTATTCAACTTCTCTGTTTCTTTATTGATCTTCTGTCTTGATGTTCTTTCCAGTATTGAAAGTGGGATAAGTCTGCTACCACAGTGTACTACAATAGAAGTCAGTAACTGCATGCTGTTTGTTCCCCCTTTCAATTCTGTGCATGTTTGCTTTGTAGGTGCTCTGATGTTGAGTGCATATACATCTACAATTGTTACATCTTTCCAGTGAATTGACAATTTTATCCTTATATAATGTACTGGTTTGTCTCGTGATAATTTTTTTACTTAAAGTTTATTTTGTCTGATATAAGTACTGAATAGCCAACCCTACAATGTTTGGTTATGAGTTGCATGGAAAATTTTTTTTCCACCCCTTCACTTTCAACGTATACATATCCTTAAATCTAAAATGAGTGTCCTGAAGCTAGGAGGTGTTTGGGTCTTGTAAATTTTTTCATTCTGCCAATCTATGTCTGGCCAATGTTATTGGTGTGAGCAATAAACTCCTTTGTTTCTGATTTCTGATCCAGTAGTCTTTTATTTTCTTTTTTTTTTTTTTTTTTTTTTTTTTGAGACGGAGTCTCGCTCTGTCGCCCAGGCTGGAGTGCAGTGGCGGGATCTCGGCTCACTGCAAGCTCCGCCTCCCGGGTTCACGCCATTCTCCTGCCTCAGCCTCCCAAGTAGCTGGGACTACAGGCGCCCGCCACTACGCCCGGCTAATTTTTTGTATTTTTAGTAGAGACGGGGTTTCACCGTTTTAGCCGGGATGGTCTCGATCTCCTGACCTCGTGATCCGCCCGCCTCGGCCTCCCAAAGTGCTGGGATTACAGGCGTGAGTCTTTTATTTTCTACCAAAATAAAATCTCTTTGACACGTCATAGTTCTTATCAGGAAAGTGATATTCTATTTTATTTTTTAAATATAATATTGAAAAATTTAATACTCAAAAAAAAGGAATGTGCTTAAAATACATACTCAACAACTTCGCCAAATTTTGAAGGTCTTTTATAAGAAGACAACATCTCAGCACACATCGGACGAAAATATGAGTATAACAAAAGAGAACCTTCTTATAACTGAACAATATAGTAAGAAAAACTGAGAGAGAGAACAAAGACCTTTGTTTTTGCAACACTGGCAAAGGGATAGCTCTAAATCCATGCCAAATGAAATATTTAACATTCATATCAAGTTTTTAATGGTGATTTTTTTCTTTAACTAATTACATATTAGGTGTATAACATATAATTTACATACTTTGCTATAATTATATAATAAACTTAGTATGTGTTAAATAAAATATGCATACTTCTATACATTAAATTATATAATATAAATGTGTATATGCATATATACACATACATGTAATGTCATGTGATAATCTCAATTCTGTTATTCAAATAGGTATTTCTATTATATCTTTTATTACATCCCAAGATTAAGAATTTTTACAATATGCTCCAAGTTTCACTGGAGGCCAGTATGGTTCAAATATCTCTTTTTGAGCACATTTTAGTCAAGATTCTGGTGCACTGAGTAGGTGAAACATTTAAGTAATACTTTTTACAAATGGAAAACTTTGTCCTATTGTGATGTTCAACATATTTCAATACCATGAAAAGGCGACTACAGACAACTAACAACCAATATATATCCATGTTATTCATGCTAAGTATTATCACAGTAATTACTATTTTAACAACTTTCCAACTTCTCAGAGTTTATTTGTTATTTGCAGTGGAGTTCAATGACAGTTGATCTTTGGGAAACTCTACTTCATAGTGTCATTCAAAGATCAAGCCTTCTCTTTTTTATACGTCTTCCTTAGAAAATTGGAATCATTCACTAGATCCTCTGCATCTTGCCAGCAAGCGAGGAAGGCAAGATAATTTGGCACATTATGCCAGAAATTTTACAGGCAATCAGGCTTGGAAGTGGTGTCTATCACTTAAACTGACATTGCTTTGGCCACAGCTCTGTCACATGTCTCCAAGTGACAGCTTGAGAAAAGTCTAGCAGAGTGCCAAAGAGGAAGAGAACACAGCTATTGTCCAACAATTGGCCAATCTCTGCAGGTTCTTGGAAAGCAGAGAGCAGAAAAATAGAAAATATTATGGTAATAAATATGACAAGAAATTATAGTCTCATTTATGCTACCACTTGCCCCAACATTTTTTATTAGATTTTCTGAAGTTATTCCTCCTTTGATGACATTTTAATATCCTATTTCTCATTTCTTTCTCTTACAGATTCCACAGAACATATAGAATGGATCTTAAAATTGAACCTACTCATTTGTCAGAGTCTAATGCACTTAAAAAAGCAATTTGAGCCTTCTCTCATTCACTCTGGTTCATAGATTACTCTGTGGTTTAGTGAGATAGATCAGAATCTAAGTTAGAACAAAATAATACAAGGTAAATAATGGATAATTGTTTTAAAATCTGTGATTCATTGTGTTTATAATATCAAGTTTATACAAAATGTATGTATGGAAACCAGCAGGTTATTTATAGTGACAAAAACAAAACCCTTAGAGTAATTCCACAAAGAAGCTTATTCTTATTTTTTGTTTGTTTTGTTCAAAAGCTACAACCAGCTCTTATATTAAAGTCATGTGAAAGCCAAAGGAGTTCCATATATATTTATGCATTCATTTTCAAAATATATTCATTTTTGATTAAATTTTAGAAAGAAATTGTTTGAAACACTGTATAATGAGAAGTATAGTAACAGCTATCACATATGCAAAGTGATTTAAAAATCAGTAGTCTGTGGTTTTATTTTGACTTATTAATGAGGAAAACAAATTATTTTATATTTGAAATAATATACTTCTAGAAAAGTGATTTTAAAACTGCTTTACTTCTTTTACATTTATTTGTAATAGAAAGTATAGTCATTATATGAAAAATAAATTTTAGTGAAATTTGTGCTTCACATCATTTATTTTATGTAACAATGTGAATTTTAAAAGTAGCAGTTTGACAGACATATGGGGAAAGTATTTATGTAGGACAGTAAATGTAGGAGACAGGAAATCTATAAGTAAGAGCAAAACAGGAAGTGGTAATTTATATAACACTGTGCAAAACCACTAAGTGTCAACAGACTTTTAAAGAGTGGGCAATTAACATGCAAAAGGTAATTTAAAGATTTTTTTCATGCTTTCTTCTCTGATTATAAAATTCCATTGTTTTAATAGTGAATAAATATATTTGTTGCACATAAGACAAAAAAGCTAAAATATTTTTATTATTGTTATTTTACAGGAACACTGACTTACATTAATAGCAACTTCAAATTGTCTATGGTCCATTGGAAGTCATTGCTTGTGGGACTCATTTATAGTCAGAAAAAATTAAACTTATCAGGTCTGATTTATAGAAAACCAGATAACTGGACTTATCTCAAAAATATAAACTATAGCAAGCAGTTGGTATTAAGGTTGAATACTGGATTCTTGAAAAAAGTTACACTTATTAATTTTATTTTTATATTAAAACTATGGAACTATGTCTTTGGATATTATTACCATGTGTATCATAATAAATATTTATTTGTTTTTATAACTCTGCCTAAAAAAGATACATAGTAAAGATCAATTCTCATATTCATACCAAAAGTAAGTACAAGGTTGGTTGGTTGGTTGGTTGGTTTTCAAGAAATAAGTTACTGAATTAAAAAGAGAAAGATACTCCTGTAAATGATTATGTATGTAAAAAATACTTTGTATTGACCAAGAGGTCCTTAATGTTCCTCTCAGCTTGAATAAAGTTTACACAGGTTTCTTCCTCATTATAATCCCCTGATCTTCCTTAGAGATTTACTTTGGAAAACTTGTAATTGTAAATTCGTCCTCTACTTATTTGAAAGATAGGGCTTTTATCTCTCAGTCTTTATGGGAGCGTAAGAACCACCTTTGATAAGCCCCGATTAGCAAACACAGATGGCCTATTCATATTGACCATTGGTATCCCTGATGTCCTCCTGTACTTTTCCATTAGCTCAACCATCCTTTAAATATCTTCCCATCTTTCATTTCAGCAGAATTAAATTAAACTCTCTCGCAGTCTTTATTCACATTACAATAGTCTCTAATAAAGTCTTCTTTGGCTGTTTAACTCTGGCTGGTGCAGCTTTTCTTTGATAGTTCATGTAATATCCTAAAGAATAGTTAAATATTAATTTATTATTCTCAGATGTCCTTCTCGTTATTTTATCTTCCAGGATTAAAATATTCCAGCTCACCTCTCCAACAGTTCTTTTCTTAAAACATAATAATTTGAGAAAAATAAAAAATAGATAACAACCTGTTGTTTGTTTTAAACCTACTCTAAAATATCATTGGGTAACATAAGTTGCCTTTGTATGTATTTTTGAGAATCTCGTGCTACAAAAACTATCTACTAAAGCCTCGCTTTTAGCTCTTTACAAATAGATCTTTACTAAAGATCTCTAAGGAATGTTAAAACTATGTATTAATAGCAGAAAAGCCATGCAAATGCAAGAAAGCCAGAAAAGCAAAATGGTACATGCAAATATTGACTTCCATTAATACAAATTTCTTTGACTCTGTCCCTTTCACTCTCTTTCTCTCTCTCTCTCTGTATGTGTGTGTGTGTGTGTGTGTGTGTGACAGAGAGAGAGACAGAGAGAGTCAAACGAATTTAAATGGAAGCCAATATTTTCGTGTACCTCTTTACAACAAAAGGTGCATATCTAGTTTTACAATGCAAAGAAATAAATGGATGCAAAATAGACATAGTACTTCAGTAGTAAAATTTTTCTTAGTAATAAAAGTGTCTTTAGGCAATGAAGAAGAGATGGAACTTTACATAGTATCAGTAAGTAAATACCAAGGTGGGATAAAGTATAAGTGGCATGGTTGATTATTTAAAATAGAGATAAAACCAACAATATCTGAAGAACTATCCAGCATGCAATTTACTGGCGAGAATCCTGGAGCCACCTGACAGGACAAATGTAGCTGAGTCATTTTTTCCAGTTTTACATAAACTTTCATTTTGAACAAATCTAAGCAAGTTTCTTCCTACCCTATACTTTTCACATTTTTAGAAACACATGAGAAAGTAATATATGCTGTGAGGTACAAAAGTAAGGAAAAGTAAAGGTTTTAGTATATTAAGCATCGACTTTGTTTAAATATAAATTATTTTCAGGAGAAAATAAAATAAAGTAAAATAACAATAAAGTCAGTGGCTACTAAATTAGAAAATACTGAAATAGTTTTAACTCTTTGTATAGAGTGAGTATTTCTTCAGCTTTTCAAATGGTAACAGTCATAGTTCATTGTACTGAGCCACTAAGCATTGATTGCCAAGTGTTAAACTGACTAAAGTGCCGTTTCAAGATGAGAGTAAAAAGGCAGAGAATGAGTATGCTACTAACAGTTGTTCTCTGGGGCAAACATCATTCTAAGCAAATTCATCCTAAGTCAGAAAAATTGTGCAACCAGCAACAGGAAAACCAGCAAGGAAACACACATATCAAGACACAGGGCTCCAACATTGTAGGGTAAAGGGAACAAATGAACTATGTCTATTAATAGCAGCATGGGTGGATCTCACAAGCATAATATTGAGACAAAAAAGCCAAACACAAAAGAGTACATCTTGCTCTAAACAGGTATGCAGCCACACTTCCCGCAAAAACAGGTACAAAAATGTTCTTAGCAGCATAATATACAAGAATCAAAATCCAGAAACCAAATGTTCATCAACATTAGAATGGATAAACAAATTGTGCTATATCCTTGTAATGAAATACTGCACAATCATGAGAATGGACAAACTACTGCTAGGTTCAACATCACTGAATCTAAAATCATAATGTCAAGTGAAAGAACCCAGAGTTAAAAGATAATATACTGCATGATTCCATTTATACTAGTTCCAACAGAGTGGAATTATTCTATCATGCAAAAAATCAGGACAGTGGTTAATTTTGTCAGAGAGTGACTTAAAGGGATGCAGAGGGAACTCTGGAGTGCTAATATTGCTCTCCTTGATCTATGTACTCGTTACATGCATGGAATTACTTTATGAAAATTTGTTGATTTCTTTTCATTTTTTTTTGGTTTTAAGTTTACTTAAGAAAGTTAACCTTAAATATGTAACAACCTTCTCTTTTTAGTATAATCTTTTAACTTGTAAAGACATGTCTTTTTACAAAGCCAAATATATGTAAACAAGTATGTTTACAAATTCAAAATTATTCAACCTGGACAATATTAGTGGTGTAAGAAATATTATTCCTCATTTGTCCTCTGTAATATTTTAAGTTGAAGAAAAAATATATGCAGACAAATCAATGGTTAGAATATTTGTCGTACAATTCATCAGAAACATAAGAATTTTTAAGGTCATTCCATTAGTAGCATATCTATATTTGAATAAAATTATTGAATTTTAAAAATCCTATTTATTTACTATTTATCTTGTACTTTAGAGTGTAATAAGCATTTTACAAATATTATCTAATTTTTCTTCAGAACATCTCTAAGTCACATATCTAAGTAAGTGTTGGAGCACAGATGGCAATTACATTGTGTCTGATCCTAAATCCAATGCTGTCTGTGTACTAGACTACAAATTCCTGGAGAGTGTGTTTGCCTCTTAATACCTTGTCTGAATCTAATATTTACTTAGTTTAGAGCAGATAGTATGTCTCTTCTAAAAGCCTGCTAAAAAAATGAATGTGTTAAGTGATGAAGAATTTGATAAATTTGGAGAAATTATTTTACATGATGATATAAAATTCTAAGAGCTCTGATGTTTCTAAATGCAAGGGTTTTAATGGGCTTGGATGAGAAATAATTGACCTATCAGAAGTTGCATCATCAATTACTAAATAATAAACCTATAAAGGGTGGAAGTTTACAAAGACTCTGCTTAGGAAGAATGTTGAGAACTCCAGTCAATAAACATTAGAGTAGTTGAATTTTCACTTCATAAAGCATTAGTAGTCTCCAAAGTTATACATAATGTTCCTTTCTATTGAGCCCACTGAGAAATGCAACACCATTGAAAAATGTATTCTCTCTCTCCCCCTCCATCTCTCTTTTACACACACACACACACACACACCCACACACACACACGAGAGAGAGAGGTATAGTTCACTTAAAATGGTAGGTGCAAATATTGACTTGCATTCATACAAATTTCTTTGACTCTGTCCCTTTGTCTCTCTCTCTCTCTCTCTCTCCCCGCTTTCTGAGAGAGAGAGAGAAAGAGAGAGACAGAGAGAATCAAAGGAATTTGAATGGAAGCTAATATGCTCATGTACGTCTTTACAACAAAAGGTGCATATCTAGTTTTACAATGCAAATAAAAAAAGGGTGCAAATCACACACAAAAAGGGTACCCCTTAAACCTTTTATTTTACTTAGATAATAAAGCAAGTTATTCATCAATCGTTTTCTGAAAACAGATTGCTTTAAAGATGTAAGTAACTGTATAACTGCACTTCTAGGAGCATAGACCATAAATTTTGCATTTAAAAATATGTACTCTCAAAACCTTTCATAAAAGCATTTGTGAGAAAACAATGTAGAAACTATATCAGTTATTTGCATTTAAAAATTAGCTAAAATTTCTGAGGCAATTAATGAGTAATGGTGGATAAGATGCAGTGTCTTGAGACATCATTTTCTTACCAATCAAAGTACAGTTCAGCTATTCAACTTCACCAGCATCATGAATACCAGGATATCTTGACCACCAGCTGTCAGGTTATTCCATCTGCACTGACAGCATCAGGCTTCAAGGTAATAGATTTTGAATATGTTCTTGAGGTGAACTTCATTTTGCAGAATCTGTGTTCCGTATTTTTGAATCTGCAAGAGTAATTTTGACACAATCCTTCAAGACTGAACATCTCTCTACATATATGAAATGAACAGTAAACGTTCTGAGTTCCTTTGCTTTTTCTAAAATATATAAAACAACATATAATTGGAATCTATACCTTGGAATAAAGAGATATCTAGTGAGGCAATGTCACATGCTAGTTTATTTTCAGTTTTGCTTTAGTCAAGAGATTTCAGTAAGCATTCCAATTTAAAATATCATATGATAAGCAGTCTTTGATACAACTTCTTTTATCTTCCCACTAAAACACATGAAAACAATCAAAATGCAATGCTTCAAAAATTGTGAGTGGTTTTCTGTTAGTCAATGCATATCAGAAACAATATTTGGCTGTAGTGTTAAAGTGTGTTAATTTGAATCACCAAAGAAAATATTTGCAGGACAGAATCATGAATGTTCTAGTCAACAAAATTGTGTAGAGCTATATTGCACTTCGAGGCAGAGGATAAAATACTCTTGAAATATTTTCTAAAGAAAGAGTTAGCTTTATTCCATTATTTTGACGACTAGTCTCTGCATTTCTTTGCTGTTGCTACAGCATAGTGATATCCAGTGGGGCCCTGAACATATCAATAATAAATATTACTGTTTGAGATTTTATATAACTAGTGGAAGTCCTTTCTTTTTTCCTCTCTAGACTACATGTTTAAACTGTCACAAGCAGCTTGGGAAATTATGCTTTTCTCTAATTCTGATTGAAAATGCCAAGAGGCTATTAGATGTCAAATGAAGGCAAAGACATTTATTTATTCTGAGGCCGGTCAGGGTTCATAAATAATAACCGAAAAGTGCAAATCAGTAAAAACAGAGTTAGGAAAAAAGTATAAAATGGGATTTATCTTTTAATGTGTGTATATCTGTATTGGCCTCAGCACCATTTGCAGGGTGTACACTACCATGTTCACAATGCAGGCTTTGGTGTACAGCTGTGTTCAAATTTTGAGTCTCTTTCTAACTTGGTGAGGAACTTAGATTTTCAAATTCTCAATTTTGTTATCTATAAAATGAAAATATTTTCAATTTCTTCTGTATAAGAAATAAATTGAGTATGGAGAAATAAATTAGAAAATTAGTATAAAATGTTTAGGAGAATGGACGTGGTAAGCACACCATAAACGTTAACAATCATTATTACTAGTAGTGATAATAAGATCATGGAAAAAGTCTCACTTGAAATATTGCAATTTGCTTATGGTTTAACAGAAATTTTTGGTTATAATTTTATAATAATTTTATTTCAAATGGCTTTTTTTCTGTCTTCTATTTTTCTCCATCATTGGACTGCAGTTTTTCATCAAGAAATAAAATTTAAGCCTACTGTGTTCAAATATGTATTTGCATGTTTATACCACAAAATATAAAATGAATTTTTTACTTAATCAAAATTTTAAAATATAAAATACAAATTTAACATAACTTTTCACTTTCTCTGGAATTTGACAGTGGTGGGTTATAAATTCTCAAAGAAAGACTAGCTCCAAACAAACGTAAATTTGTTCAGTTTGAGTCTTCTCCCAAGCATCATAAATTCAGTGTCATCAAGTTTTTTGCAGCAGATACAGACAGTTTTTCATTTTCTCTAAGATGGGTTACCTTATATCTCTTAAAAAGAAGCATAATAACAATCCCTAGGAACTAAGCAGATGTAAAATGATTCTCCCTATAGGCCAATATGAGAAGGAAGTCAGAAGAGCATGAAAAGTAGACAAAAGCGGAGTTTTTCATATCTTTAAGCCTGGGGGGAGGGGGCTGTATTATTTTTATTTTTTAAAAATAGTAGAATTATGCCTTTTGAAATGACACTTGAAATAAATATCTGATAAGTTTAAAGTCCTGATATACTTGGTTAATACTCTAATAGCAGAGGACATTGCTCACACTTCTCTTCTACTTCAGATTTTGGCATTCTCTGTTCAAAAACTGCTCAGATATATTTCACATGAATTTCTTTTGAAGCATTAAGAAAAGAAAACTATCATCACATCATCATAAATCTGTCCTCAAGGAAGCAACAGGAATTCAGAATTATCTGCTTTGTCACTCTTCTATGTTTATGAAACATCATCCTTTACAAGAATACTGCTACTTATACTTTATTTAAAAAATAACTTGTACACATATCATTATCTCTATAAAAAGAAAAAATAGAAAGATCTATCAAAGCTGAAGTAATATTTTCAAATATGCCTTTTAATTAAATATTATTCGGTAAACAAAATAATCTTAAAATAGCTAATGAACCCTATTTAAGGTGACAATTAATAATATTGAAAGATAGTTCTCCATTGTACAATGAGTCTTGAACAAAAAAGGCCTGAGTTGGACCTTGGTTCTAATACCTACTGTTACAGTGGGAAAGTTACTCAAATTCATTGAACTACATTTGTCTCATAAGTAAAACAGAATTAATTTCTCTGAAGTATTTTTTAAGAGTTAAATTATAATACATATGAAAATTACATTGTAGGTGGCCAATAAATTATAGCTATAATCTAGAATTCTGCAATAGCAAGTTCAGATCATAAATAGCTTTAATGCCCTTTTTGAACAAACAAAATGCATTCTTACTGAATGTC
Source organism: Homo sapiens (assembly GCF_000001405.40). Taxonomy (NCBI): domain Eukaryota; kingdom Metazoa; phylum Chordata; class Mammalia; order Primates; family Hominidae; genus Homo; species Homo sapiens. The sequence continues at coordinate 115,267,323 of NC_000004.12, read as the reverse complement.
AGTGCTCCCTAAAAGATAAATTACAAAACTATTTTTATAACATTACAGTTATACTTGTTACTGAAAAGAGAAAGTGAATGTTTGTTTTCTTAAGTCCCTTTTGCCATTTAGATACAATAACTTTATACATGCTTTACTATTATTTCTATAATATAGTGATTCAGTATGCACCTAATTTCTGCCTGAGAGATTGCAACACAAAAATGTGATATTTTGATATGAGTTTTTTATTTTCTTTTGCCTCAATTATTCCCAGATTCCAAGTTAAATGAGTAAGAAGAAATATTTACTCTGAAAGTCACTAGAAAAATGGTAGTAATGTACCCTTGATTTGTAAATATGTAATAGTAAACATTTTGGGCAGGGATCTAAGAGGGAAAAAAAAAACTCTCAAGTAACCTAAATTCAGTTTGGTATCAATCAATTAAATACTAAATAAAATTATTCTGTCTTGCATTTAAAGAGACTCTTCGAAGAATTTAAGTACACAAAATACAGAACTTTTAAAAGATTATACTGCCTTTTTAAAAAAGAGACTATACTATGTTTAAAAAAAGAAGACAATAAAATGTAAGCAAATCATGACAGGGCACTGGAATAATGCCTGAAGAGGCAAAGATAGATCAAACTAACCCACAAAGTAAGAATAGATATTTTATACATATGAATAGATATTATATATGATAATTATTTTATAATTAATTATTTCTGCTAGAATTTAAAATTATTTCTGCTGTTATATTAATTATGTAATTAATTATTTCTGCTAGAATAATTAATATTGTCATTCCCCACAGCATTTTTACTGATTCACTTGTAGCTTATTTTCTTTCTTTAATGAAAATTTCTTTTTCTTAAAGTAGGGCGAGCAGGGGTAGGAGACAAGAAATAACATTTTAAAGGGTACTACAGAGCTTCTGGTTCCAGGACAAGATGGAGTAGATGTATTTTTTCCTAGTTCTGCTAAGTACAGATTAAAATGCTGGGCATTACATATAAAGCAATATAAAGAGAGCTTTTAAAAGGTGAAAATAAGAAAGCAGATTGCCTAGGGACCTCAGAATGGAAGAGAAACATGATGGTAAGTCCTTGGGTTTTCTTTTTACCTCATAATCCTGGACTTGGTGTTAGAGACACCAGGGTCCTGGAAATCTCAGGCAGAAAATGACCTCAGAAAAGACTTCTCCTTCTATAAAAGGACAAGCAAAGTGGCAGCTGAGCAAGACAAAAACCTTTTAGACAATAACCATCATACTTCAGCTAAATACCATGAATAAAGCAGAATGAAACAGTGGCCCCACCCTCATACTTTCGGCAAAGACCTTTGCCCATACTGGGGTGAGAGAGTTGATAAACCCAAATCAGGACCTGGGACTTCATTTCCATCAGACAGGAAAGAACCATCCCCACACAGTGTCAGTGGAGGCCACAGGGGAAGGAGTATTTAGGTGTTTCTCCCTTTGTAGCCAGGATGGTGGCAGCAACAGTTCAGTAGAGAGTTTTCTTCCACCCTTACCCAACAGTTATGAGGCACCATTCCGCTCTCCTGAAATGTCACCAGAGGCTGAGTGGGAAACCTTGACTTCTACCCCTACAAAGCAGTAATAAAGCATCACTTTCCTCATATTACCAGTGTGGTTCCAGTAATGGCCTACTAAAACAGAGGATTTAAATGAGATCCAGGGTCTCATAACATAATAGCCTAAATATCCAGGAAGTGATGGAAACATACTCATTTTAACAAGAAGCAGAAATATTTCAACTTGAATGATAAAAGATAATCAACAGACAACATTGAGATGATAGAGATGCTGGAATTATCTGACATGGACATTAAAGAGGCCATAATAAAGACTTTTTAACTAGCATTTTTGAACACACTTAAAACGTTTAAAAATAAACTTTCAGCAATGAAATAGAACTCAGAAAAAAAGATATAAAGAAACAAATAATAGAAATTTAAAAGAAAAAAAGTCATAATCAAAAAAATGCACAGAATCTAAAAACAAATGAACAGAGCTTCAGAGACCTGTGAGACCATAACACAATATCTAATGTTTGTAACATTGAAGTTTTAGAAGAAGAAGATAGACTGTGAGGCTGAAAAAGTAGCTGAGGTAGTAATAACCAGAAATTTGCCAAATTTAGCAAAAGACATAAACCTATGGATTCAAGAAGTTGAGTAAATACCAAATAAGATAAACCCAAAGAAATTCATGGTAAGACATAGTAATGAAACAGAGGACATCTTTACACATGTTGAATACATCATAAAGAAAATAAGGTAGTACTACAAATAATTCTACATGCATGCATTGGACAACTTTGATGAAATGAATCATTTCCTCAAAAAGCACAAACTACCACAATTCCTTGACATGAAATGGATCGTTTGAATAACTCTCTATTAAGGAAATTAGATTCAGAATTTTAAACACCCTCAAAGAAAAAATATCCAGGCCTAGATGGCTTTACTAAAGGGTAATACCAAATTTTTAAAGAAGAATCAACACTAATTCTACAAAATTTCTTCCAGAAAATAGAAAAAGTGAGAACACTTCCTAACTCATGTTATGAGGACAGTTGTATCCATTTCCTATGACTCCTGGGACAAAGCACCATAAGTTGTGTGACTTAACAGAGATGTATTGTGTCATATTTCTGGAGTCTAAAAGTCTGAAATCAAGGCATTGTCAGAAGCATGCTCCCTTTGAAACCCAACAGGAATTCCTTCTGGTATATTCCAAGCTTCTGGTATGCTCCCAGCAATTTTTGGCATTTCTTGACTTGTAGATGTATCATTTTAATCCTCCATCTCCACATGATATTCTTCCTGTGTCTCCACATTGCCCTTCCTCTGTGAGTGGTTGTGTCTATGTTCAAATTTTCTCTTTATATATTGACATAAGTCATATTGAGTTAAGCCACCCTAATTATTCCACTTTAACCTTGTTATCTCTTTAAAGAAGCGGTTCAGAAATAAGGTCACATTCAGAGGTACTAGGAGTTAAAATTTCAACATATATTTTGTGGGGAGCAGAATTCAATCCACAACACCAGTAATACCCTGATGCCAAAATCAGAAAAAGAAAAGACAAATAAAAGAAAAAGAAAATTACAGACCAACCAGCATCATAAATGCAGATGTAAAAAGCATCCTTAACAAAGTATTAGCAAATAGAAATAATCAAGTATGAAACGTATGTATACTATGACCAAGAAATGCCTGTTTCAGGTATGCAAGAAAAATCAGTCTTTACGTTTTTAAATTTAAAATCCATTTTAAGTATTGATTTTTAAAAATCAATCAGCATATGTAACTGTGATAGGGCAAATAAAAAAATCACATGATTCTATCAACTGATACGGAAATTTGACAAAATCCAACATCCATCCATTGTACTATTTCTCAGAAAACAAAGAGCATATGGGAACTTCCTCAGTTTAGTAAAGATTGTTCATATATGCAGTCTACTGTTATTATCAGAGGTATAGATGCATAGATCAGTGGAACAGAAGAGAGAACTAAGACAGTAGACTACTACTTAGCAATAAAAAAAACCATTGATACATACAATTATGTAGATCTCAAAGTTACAATGTTAAGTTCATTCATTCAATGCCAACCTGCAAAATTCACATGCTACATAGATATAAAAAATAAATTAGTGATTGCCAAGGATTAAGTTTCAGGGAGTAGAAAAGGATGGGTGTAAGTGTAAAGGAGTAGCACAAGATATGTTTTGGTGATGGAATAGCTCTGTATCTGATCATATCTAAGCATTCCAAACAATTTTCTACATATGTGATAAAAGTACATAGAACCACACACACACACACACACAAACACACACACACACACACACACACACACACATCCATACAAGTACCAATGCCAATTTCCTGGTTTTCATGTTGTACTACAGTGATATAATGTGCCACTGTTAAGGGAAATTGTAAGAGTTTGTTTGCAAGACTTATCTGTCCTACAGAGACAACTTACTATGAATCTATAATTTTAAAAATGAGAAAATTGTTCTCACAAAAAATCAAGTTTCCTCCAATTCTTTAAGTAAAAGAAAATTTTGAAATTTCTGAAATTGCCTAAGATTTATGAAATAATTTTTTCTACGCAAGGGTAAATATAAAATGGGTGACCATTTTTCTGCTTCATAATATGTTGTAACTTACTACCCTCTAGTCAGAATTTGAGATTATTAATTAAGAACCTACTTCCTATATTTATGTTTAAATTAAGAAGTAAACACCGAGACTATTATGCTTATTTAACCTTATACATTTAGTATAAAAGTCAAAGTGTAAGCCTTAAATACAAATTCCACAAAAGAAGTTTCCTGGAAAAAGTTAGTATCTATAATTGCCTATTAGATCAAGATGGTTGATACTGTTGTCCAGATTGTCTATGTCTTTATTATTGTTTTACTTATTTACATTATTTTATCTGGTTGTTCTATCAATTGTTGATGAAGGGGTGTTAATTTTCTCTCTTGTGGTTTAGGAATTGTCTTTTGCTCTCTTTAATTCTGCTAATCTTTTTTCATGTAATAATATGAATGTCTGTTATTAGAAAACAATAATGTTATCATTGTTGTGTCTTCCTAATTAACTTATTATTATAATGAAGTGTCCCTATTTATCTTTGAAGATAATCTTTCTCTTGAAGTCTATATTATATCATATTAGTATAACCACTCCAGCCTCCTGATTTTTTCCATGCTTATGGCAAATCTGTTTTCATTCATTTATATTCAAGCCATCTATATGTTCACATTTAAAGTACAGATTTTGAAGATGGTTTATAATTGGGTCTTTCCTTTTTATATTCTAACAATCTCTGACTTCTAATTGGCACCCCTTTATCATTCAATGTATTTATAGTTATCTTTGGATTTATATTTACCATCTTTAAAAATATGTTCTCTGCTTATTATCTTTGTATTTTGTTTCTTTATTGTTCCTTCTGGGTTATTTCTAAGCAATGATTTTAATGAATTTGTCACTATTTTATTTAGTATGAGAACTTATAATAAAGGGAAATAACTCAAAAACTGTATATTAAGTACAGTGATTTCAAATAGGGTTTTTTGTCCATTCATCTTTTTGAAAAACATTTCATATGTTTTTATATTTCTGAGATTACTTGGGAATAACTTTGTGACACTGCATTTAATTGCATATGAACTTTACTGAAATTCAGTTAGGTCCCAATGAGATTTCCCAAGGGCCTCCTCCTAATGTGTCACTTGTTTGTCCATTTTCGATATGCTTAAAATACTTTACTGGCAAAGGCTATATAAGTAAACATTTTAGACTCTGAACTCACACCAACTGAATTCAAATTCTGACTGCAATTAACAAGTCTAAAACATGTGAAGTGGCTTTGTCTTTATTTTCTTATATGTTTTACACACCAGAATGTAGTTACAGAAAACATAATCCATTCGTGATTTCAGAAGAAAGCAACTTATTAAAGTGTATTAAGTGACCTAAGGGAGTTTTTAAGAACTGGAGAGACTTGGTCTGACCTCTCAAGAAAGACTACTGAGGCACCCTAGGAAAGTGGCTTGCCAAGGAAGCTACTTCTGCTGAGATAGAACCATGCTGTCTTTCACAGCCAGGAAAGCTTTAAGTGCAGAAGCTGCAATTGTGTTTACTTGGTGTAAACTGGTCATAATACTAGTGCCCCTCTTAGGTTTGTTATCTCTATTAAATATCATATTGGCACAATCTTGTTGTTGATGGTAGTGTTTTCCTTCCAGATTCAAGAGATGGTTGTATTAGTTCATTTGCATTACAATAAAGGAATACCTAAGACTGAGTAATTTTTAAATAAAAGAGGTTTAATTGGCTTACACTTCTGCACGCTGCACAGGAAGTTTGATGCCAGCGTCTTCTTCTGGTGAGGGCCTCAGGGAGCTTACAATCACAGCAGAAGGTGAAGGGCAAGCAGGTATCTCACATGTTGAGAGTAGGAGCAAGAGGGGTAAGCAGGTATCTCACATGTTGAGAGTAGGAGCAAGAGGGGCCAGGCGCAGTGGCTCACACCTGTAATCCCAGCACTTTGGGAGGCCAAGGCGGGTGGATCACAAGGTCAGGAGATTGAGACCATCCTGGCTAACACGGTGAAACCCCATCTCTACTAATAATACAAAATAATTAGCTGGGCATGGTGGAGGGCGCCTGTAATCCCAGATACTCAGGAGTCTGAGGTGGGAGAATGGCATAAACCCGGGAGGCAGAGCTTGCAGTGAGCTGAGATCGCACCAATACACTCCAGCCTGGGCGACAGAGCGAGACTCCGTCTCAAAAAAAAAAAAAAAAAGAGTAGGAGCAAAAGAGAGAGTAGGGAGTTGCCACATACTTTTAAACAACCAGATCTTGAGAGAACTCACTATCACAAGGACAGCACCAAGCTATTCATGAGCGATCTGTACCAAAGACACAAACACCTCATACTAGACCCTACTTCCAACACAAGGAATTACATTTCAACATGAAATTTGGAGGGAACAAAAATACAAACCATATAATTCCACCCCTGGCTTCCCAAATCTCATGTTCTTCTCACAATGCAAGATATAATCATCTCTCAATAGCCCCCAAAAGTCTTAACTCTCTTCAGTATCAAAGTGCTAAATCTCATCTGAAATTCATCTGTCTGCACCTATCAGCCTGCAAAATCAAAATAAGTTATCTACTCCCAAGATGAATGGTGGTACAAGCATTGGGTAAACATTCCTGTTCCAAAAGGGAGAAATCAGACAAAAGAAAGGAGTAACAGGACCCACACAATCTTAAACCAAGTAGGGCAGTAATTAAAGCTCCAAAAGTATCTTCTTTGATTCCATGTCCCACACCCAGGGCACACTGGTGCAGAAAGTAGGCTTTCAAGGTCTTGGACAGCTCCACCCCTGTGGTGTCGCAAGGTGCAATGTCCCTGATGATTACCACTGATTGGAGGTGAGCACTGTGGCTTTTCCAGGCATAGAGTGAAAGCACTATGGTGAAACCATTTTCTTCTCCTAGACTTCTAGGCCTATGATGGGAGATGCTTCCTAGAAGAGTTCTGAAATTCCCTTCAGGCTTTTTTTACATTCTCAAGGATATTTGTACTTTGCTTCCTTTTAGTTACACAAATCTCTTCAGCAAGTGGTTACTCCACAACCTGCTTGTATTCCTCCTCTAACACAGGGCCAGGCTGTAGATTTTCCAAACCTTTAAACTTTGCTTCCTTTTTACATACAAGTTCCAACTTTAAGTCATTTATTTCCTTTTATATGTGATATTATCCTGTTAGAAGCAGTCAGTTCACATCCTGAATGCTTCGCTGCTTAGAAATTTCTCCCACTGGATTCCCTAAATCATCACGCTTAAGTTCCAACTTCCACAGAGCATGGACATGGACATAATGCAGCCAAGCTTTGTGCTAGGGCACAGCAGAGGTAACCTTTACTCCCATTCCCAGTAACTTCCTCATTTCTGTCTGAGAACTCCTCAGCCTGGACTTCATTGGCCATGTCTCTATCAGAATTTTGATGACAACCATTTAACCAGTCTCTAACAAGTTTCAAGCTCTCTGTCATCTCTCTGTCTTATTTTGAGTCCTCCAAACTCTTCCAAATTCTGCCTGTTACTTAGCTACTTCCAAAGAGGCTTCCATATTTTCAGACATATTTATAGCAATGTCCCACTCTAGATTTGGAGCGGACAAACTTCCAAACTATATCAATTATACATGCCTTTCTTATTTCTGCTAGACCTGAATAGAATTTTTATAGGGGAAAAATAATACCCTTAAGTATTTAAATATAAAGATACACTACAGGCTAAAATAATGTCTTTATACTTAAAAAATCAAGGAGACTGGTTATAAGTTTAATTACTAGGATAGCAACATAATTTATCAACTCAACATTGACTTTAAAAACAGTTTGGTGAAGACCATTCTTACCTTTTTACAGTGCTATAAAGTAATAAATGTTATCAGGGGTCTCTAACATACTTCTTTAACAATCAAATAGCTAAAAGATAAAGAAAGCAATAAATATTAGTTGTCACTTATTGTAACTATTATCATAGTATTAGGATGCACCAAATTGTGTAGTTATAAGATGCAGAGTACAGTCCTCCCTTGGTATAATCATGGGATTGATTCTAGTACCCTCCAAACACCAAAATCTATGGATGCAAAGGTCCCTTATATAGAATGGAATAGTATTTGCGTATAACCTCCTGTATAATTTAAATCATTTCTAGATTATTTATAGTGCCTAATGAAATACTGTGTCAATTGTTATATTGTGTTTTTATTTGTATTATTTTTATTATTGCATTGTTATTGTAATTTATTTATTTGTTTTATTATGTATTCAGGGAGTACATGTGCAGGTTTGTTACATAAATATTTTGTATAATAGTGAGGTTCAGGCTTCTAGTATACCCATAACCCAAATAGTGAACATTGAATTCAATAGGTAATTTTTCAACCCTCAACCTTCTCCTACCCTTCTTCCTTTAAGAGTCTCAAGTATCTATTAATATTATTTCATCTTTATGCACATGTGTACCCATTCTTTTTCTCCCAGTTATAAGTAAAAACATTCAGTATTTGATTTGTTTCTGAGGTATTTCACTTAAAATAATAGCCTTAGCTCCATCCATGTTGCTGCAAAATATATGATTCATTCTGTTTTACAGCTGCATAGTATTCTATTATGTATATATATAAAACACATTTTCTTAATCCATTCATTCATTGATGAACATCAAGGTTGATACCGTATCTTGGCTATTGTGAATAGTGCTGTGATAAACACACAAGTACAGGTGTCTTTTTTAATATATTGATTTCTTTTCCTTTGGGTAGATACTCAGCAGTATAATTTCTGGGTCAAAACTGAGGTTTATTTTTAGTTCTCTGAGAAATCTCTATATGATTTCCATAGAGGTTGTACAGATTTACCTCCAAACTAGCATACAAATATTCCCTTTTTTCTGCATCCTCACCAACATCTGTTGTTTTTTACTTTTTATAAATAGCCATCTGACTGGTGTAAAATGATGGGTATCTCATTGTGGTTTCAACTTGCATTTATTTGATGATTAGTAATGTTGAGCATTTTTAAAATATTTTTATTGGCTACTTATATGTCTTCTTTGTGAAATGTCTGTTGATGACTTTTGCCCACTTTTTTATGGGATTTTATTTTTCTTGTTGAATTGAGTTCATTCTAGATTCTGGATACTAGTCTTTTTTCAGATGCATAGTTAGAAAATATTTTATCCTATTGCACAGGCTCCCTGTTTACTCTGTTCATTATTTCTTTTGCTGTGCAGAAGTTTTGTAGTTAAGTCCCATATTTCTATTTTTTAGTTACATTTGCTATTGAGGACTTAGTCATAAATTCTTTGCCTAGGCCAATATGCAGATGAAATTCTCCCTAGGTTTCTTCCAAGGATTTTCATAGTTTCAGGTCTAGCGTTTAAGATTCCAATCCATCTTGAGTTAATTTTTGTATATGGTGTTAGGTAGTGGCCCAGTTTCATTCAAATGGCTTCCCAGTTTTCCCAGCACCATTTATCGAATAAAGTGTCCTTTCTCCATTGATTATTTTGGTTACTTTTGCCAAAGATAAGTTGGTTTCAAGTATGTGGTTTTATTTCTGAGTTGTATATTTATTCCATTTTTCTATATGTCTTTTTTTGTATCAGTGCCATGGACTTTTGTTCACTATAGCCTTATAATATACTATAAAGTCTGGTAATGTGATGCTTCCGAATTTGTTCATTTTGCTTAGGATTGATTTGGATATTCAGGCTCTTTTTTGGTTTCATATAAATTCTATAATTTTTTTACAATTATGTAAAAAATATTGGAGCTTTGATAGGAATTGCATTAAACCTGTAAATTGCTTTGGGAAAAATGGTCATTTTAACAGTATTGATTCTTCCCATCCATGAGCATCAGATGTTTTCTCATTTGTGTCATCTACAATTTCTTTCATCAGTGCTTATGTAGTTCTCCTTGTAGAGATCTTTTACTCACTTGGTTAAATACATTTCTAGGTATTTTATATTTTGTAGCTATTGAACGTGATAGAGTTACATATGTTGAACCATCCTCGCATCCCTGGATAAATCCCACTTGGTCTTGAGGTATTATGTTTTTCTGAGCTCTTGTATTTACTTTGCTAGTAGTTAGTTGAGGATTTTTTCATTTTAATTGGGGATATTGGCCTGTAGTTTTCTACTTCTGTTGTGTCCTTTCCTGATTTTGTTATCAGGATAATACTGGTTCTTTAGGATGACGAGTTAAGAGAGGAAGCCCTACTTCTCAATTATATGCAATACTTTGGATTGGTACATATTCTTCTGCATGGTTCTTGTAGAATTCAGCTGTGAATACATCTGGTCCTGGGCTTTTTTTGGTTGTTGTTGTTGTTGTTGTTGTTGTTGCTGGGTGATTTTTTTTATTACCAACTAAGTCTCACTACTTGTTATTGGTCTGTTCAGTAGTCTATTTCTTCCTGGTTTGGTACTGGGAGGTTTTATAGTTTAAGAAATTTATTCATTTCCTGTAGGTGTTCTAGAATGTGCATGTAGAGGTACTCATAGTAGTCTCTGATGATCTTTTGTATTTCTGTGGTATCAGTTATGATTTCACTTTTATCATTTCTGATTGTGTGGAGCCCCAGGAGTCACTCACTCATCCCTTTCCTGCATTAGGGAGATTCTCCCAGCTCCTCTCCCAGCTCCATGCCAGGCTAAACTCAGAGGGCTGCTTGGTTTCACGCTCCTATTTTCTGTGATTCCTGTTGTTTGTCTGATAAACTCCATGTGCTCTCTTAGATGATCTACTTGAAGTGTTAATATTTACTCACTGTTTTGATTCTTGTCAGCGAGGGAGACACCCACTAGCTGCTTTTAGCCTGCCATCTTCAACCGGAACCCTATTTTTATTTTTTAATTATTTTTGAATATTTTCAATCTGTGATTTTTGAATCCATAGATGTGAAACCCACAGAATATGGAGAGACAGTTTTATTCTCATATAAAACCTTTGAATATAATTGATTATTTATTCGTTTATTAATAAAAATCATGTGTTTAGCCTTGGATGGGGTCTGTCAATGCTATCTGATAAAATATGTGGGTTATACTGGATTTTAAATACATTCTATCCCCTACACTATAAAACATCATATTAGACTGAATCCTATGGGTATGGAAATTAACATATATAATATTATACATTAAGGAAGCATTGCAAATTATATTCAAGCTCCATAATATATGTAATTTTGATAAAAGCGCTCCATAATATATGTAATTTTGATAAAAGTATAAGTAAAAATTGTGTATTAAAATTTATCTACATATTGTTTAAAGATTTAAATTATATATTAAGAGTAAACCTAATGTAAGTATATTAATCATATTAAAATTTTGAAATGTGAGCAGCTACACTTTGATTTGATTTGAATTGATTTTTTTGGCTGATGCTGATGACCTCCAATAAAAAAATTCTTGCATTCACCAAAGGAGTATATGATAGAAGACTTGCTTATTATATAAATACTCTCCAAAGCATTTGTTAGAAATTTAGTGCCTTATTTTATTAAAACAACAAATATAATAAATTTTAATCAGGCGTATATGGGGGTAAAAGAAAAGAAATTTTCTACATCATGGATTCAGAAATTAAATTTTAGGAAATATTATGACAGTGAAGAAATAACTACTATTCTGTGTTTTTTATCATTATACATCTGTTATATCTTATTTAATGAAAAGGCCATATAACTTTATGAAAACATATACATACATATTTGCTAATTAAAATATCAAATAATTAACATTATATAGATGAATTTAAACAATTCTCAAAACTTCCATCTATCAACTCCTTGATTAAAAGCAAACTGTGAAAGTAAAAAATATAGCATTTGGGGCTAGATACTGTAAGGAATCCTCATGCTGCAGCTTTTGCAGGAAGCGGCCATTGTAATTTAGGCTCACAGCAAAGAAGAGAAAACTCCATGGGGCCAATAAGAAGTGATCTTAACTAGACTGGTGAGCAGTGAACAAATAGAAAAGCAAGGGTTGCTCTAAGGGTATTGCTGGTAGCAAGGTGGGAAGCTAGATATCAGAAATCCTCATTGGACTTGATATCACAGAGAGGCAAGAGCAAATCTCCTGTGAAAAACAGATTCAGTTTAGCATCCACAGTTTCCAGAATTTGTGATCAATCACATGTGACTCAATATAAAAAATTAGCTAATATTCAATCAAACCAAATGTCATGAATGAGAATTAATTCAACAAAAAACAGGTTTAGACTACTCAGTAATTCAGATATTAAAATTATCTGAAATGTGTATATATGTATTCCTATGAGTGGATATTTAAAGAATAGAAAATAGAATTTCATAAATAAGTAAGCAATAGGCATTTTTAATGGAAGATTTTAAGTTAAAACTGTAAGTTGAAAAACACTAAAAATATGGAGTAAGCACACAGTAGGTATAACTAAAAAGGAGTAACTCAATTGAAAGAAAATTCTGAGAAACCTAATTAAAAAATGAACTTCAGAGAGATAAATACGATAGAAAAAAAGAGGTTTAGAGACATGGAGCTTGCAGTGAGCCCAGATCGCGCCACTGCACTCCAGCCTGGGCAACAGAGCGAGACTCCATCAAAAAAAAAAAAAAAAAAAGAAAGAAAGAAAAAGAATAGGAAATTCTAAATACATGTAATTCATCCACATTTTAGAAGTGGAGCCTTGAAAGAAGAGAAGCAATATTTGAGAAATAATAAAATTATTCAAAACGGATGAAAGATCTAAAACAACAGGCACAAGAAATGCAGTATATACCAAATAAGATGAATAAAAAAACCCACATGCAGATAAATCAAAATGAAATTGGAAACACCAACATCTAAGGGAACATTATTATTTGGCATTATTGAAATATAATTGACAAAGAAAAATGGTATATGTTTAAGATGTACAGCTTGATATTTCGATATATATATATATATATATATATATATATATACACACACACACACACACACACATTGTAAAACAATCACCACAATCAGGCTGATTAACATACCCATCACCGCACATGGCTGTCATGTCTTCCTTTTGTGTGTGTGTGTGTGTGTGTTAAGACATGATTTATCTTGTTAGCAAATTTCAAGTGCACCGTGCATGTAGTATTATTAACTATAGTCTTTGTTGCTGTACATTAGATCTTCAGAAGTATTTATCTTCATAACAAAAATTTGTAGTCTTTGACCAACAACTACTGATTCCCTTTTTTCACTAGTTTCTGGTGCCACCATTCTACTCTCTACTTTTATGAGTTTGACTATTTTAGATTCCACAAATACACGAGATCATGCAGTAATCTTTTTGTGTCTGACTTGTTTCATTTAGGATAATGTCCTCCAGGTTAATCTGTATCATCCCAAATGGCAAGGTTTCCTTCATTTTAAGGCTGAACACTATTCTCTCTCACTCACACATGACCACGCATGCACACACACGTGTGCTCACACATATGTCTCACATCTTTTTTTTTTCCATTCATCTGTTGATGGATTTTTTTTTTTTCAGATGGAGTCTCACTCTGTCGCCCAGGCTGGAGAGCAGTGGCACAATCTCACCTCACTGCAAGCTCCGCCTCCCGGGTTCACGCCATTCTCCTGCCTCAGCCTCCCGAGTAGCTGGGACTACAGGCGCCCGCCACCACGCCCCACTAATTTTTTGTATTTTTAGTAGAGAGGGAGTTTCACCGTATTAGACAGGATGGTCTCAATCTCCTCACCTCATGATCCACCCGCCTCAGCCTCCCAAAATGCTGGGATTACAGGTGTAAGCCACTGTGCCCAGCCTGTTGATGGATATTTTTAAGAGAGTATCTTAAAAATAGAGAAAAAAGAAAACTCCTTAAAAAGAACAATCATTAAACTTTCAGTAGTATATTAATTTTAAAAATGAAAGTTAAAAATAGTTAACCTGGGTTTATGAGATATTTAAAATATGAGAGATTAACATATCAGAAGTCTAGAATTTCATGAATTTAAAAAAATTTAAAAGAATATGGCTAAAATAAAAAACTTCAGCAAAAACTGAAAATAAATAAAAATAGACCTAAATTTAAAAGAGTTCTAAAAATATATACTTTGGGACTAGGAGAAATAATACTAGTAGTGAGAAAAAATAATAAATATAGGTAAATCTAGTCAAATCTGTCTTTATAAATAATAATACTCATAATATCGGGGGAATTTAAAAAACTCTGGATAAAAATGACAGAACTTTCCAAGTTACTGATATAAATTAAAGCATTTTAAAGTCCTTATATTTTTGGAGGGATGTTAAAATATATATGTTACACTAAGTATAGCTTACAAATTATAACCACTATAAGAAAATAAATATAATATACGGCTTCTAAAGGAATGTGAAGAAATGGAATGAAAGGAATAAATATACAAACAATACCTAATAGTTTTTCTTGAAGACTGGGAAGTAGAAGGAAGCACCGAAAATGTGGGAAAATAGCATAAATGCTAGAACCAGATTTAAGTGGATGAAGAAGCTCAGAAAAACTCTTCATTTGAAAGATATTGTCAAATTGGACTTTTGGAAATCAAGGTATGATGTTTACGAGACCTTCCTAAAATAAGAAAAATGTTACTGAGGAAAAAAATGGAATGTATACCAGAAAAATACTAATCAAAAAAACTGATATGACACTATTAATGTTATATAGAATAACATCAAGAAAACATTATGAACACTATATATGTAATGATTAAAGATTCATTCCACCAAAAATATAAAAATTCTGAACAATTATTTTCTAATAAAATTACCTTAAAATACATAATATTTATGCATATATATTCATACACACATATACGTGTACATACACATGCAAGAGAGGAAGAATTTGACAAATTGACCAATATAGTGGACAATTTTAACAGAACCATTTCAATTAGTGATACGTCAAGGTGAAAAACCAATTAAGAAAGTAAGAAATATTTGTATGCCAAAATGAGGTGTTATCAATAGCATGTTATTCGAGCTCTGTATATGTTTTTGTCTCTAGCTGTTAAATGGGACAAAATCATAGCTATCAACTAATAATTAGTTAAAATTAAAGGATACGCCATTGTCATTGTGATCTACATTTATGTGGTTAAGAGAAAGCTACGCTTTAGAAAAATGCTCTCCAGACAGAACTGTGAAAATATAAAAGAATGATGCATTATAAGTGTACAGGCAAATCACAATTTGTACAGAAATGGGTAAAGAGATTCTAGTCACCAGATGGTCATAGTATTGCCTTCAATAGCTTTTGAATGAGTTCTATTTTCTCCCATTTTAGGAGTTCATCTCATGGTACAGAAAAATGGGAAATGAGCATGAACATTATATATATTTTTTCCTATAATGAGTAAGACAAGCAGGATCCTTTTGCCTAAGACAAAGATCAGACGTAGTTGTATTTTTTGTTGATTCTTCACATGTTAAAGAATCTGTTAAGGAGACCACCAGATTGTAAAATAATGAGATGTGAGCACATGCCCATCTACTCACTCAGCTTACCAGGCATTGACGGATAATCTTTAAACAAATACAGTCATTGCTAAAGAAAACACATGTTTAGACTAGCAAAGACAGAGCTGTTAAATGGGAATCTTTTAGAAAGAGATGCTGAGTTAAATAAGATGGAGGTTAAGTTTAAGAGAATTAATTTGGGTAGTAAGAATATTACCAAGTTCCCAGTACTATTGTTAACAAATGTCTCAGCTCAACAGATTTAAACGCCATAATTACTATTTGTTATCTTACTTACATGTATTTTGTAAAATAAGTGAATATTTCACCTTAATTTAAGATTGCAGCAGCTTTAATATTTACCAACAGCTGTGGTCTGGCTTTACAAGAGCCAAATAATAATAATAATAATTCCTCCTTTGTTTTTCTCTCTTCTTTTCTCTGGTAATTAACCAATACTGAACTGTCACTAATCCACAGTAGTAAAATTTGGATGCAAATATTTCTTTTTGTCAACCCATATTATGCTGCCGTGTGTTCCACTACCAAATGCAAGTTATCTAGTGGTAGGGACTGTGCCTTTCTATTTATTATGTTTAGGTCCTGAAATAAATACCAAGTAGGAACACTGAAGATTATGGTAACAATGCCAGAAAAGTTCTTAGAATACTCTAATGAAATGCATTATTGGATTACAAAATATTTAATTGAAGTCATCATCATTACAATAGTTGATTCCTTTGATGTATTTCTTCTGGGCATGATTAAAAATTTAGAAATATTGGTCTTATATCCTGAGATGTGAAAAATGCCTTATCATTTGTTCAATAGTATAACGATTATTTAGAATCAGAAAGCTAAGAAAAGACTGCCTGAATGTAAATTAGCCTGACAAATTATAATAGCACTTCTCATTTCTAAGGAATACATATATATATATATATATGAATATGTACATATTTAAGAAAATTTAAAAAGCACTACAATTTCAGAGCCGAGAAGCAGCACAGGGAAGCATAAGAAAAACACAGATCTGAATGTCAAAAGACCTGAATTCCAGTCTCCTATCTTTTACTTCCCTGCTGGGTGATTTTCAGAAGCTCATAATGTTCATCTGAATCTAAGATTTCTTCTTTTGTTAAATCATGACCTCTAATTTTCCTTCCAATTCCAACCTTCTGTATTATTCAAGTAATACAACATGAAATAATGAATACCACCCAAATAATGAGCTAAATATAACCTGGGGCATTTGTTTCAAGAAATATTACAACATTCTTTGGGAAAATTGACTTCAATGTTATAATTCTTAGACATCATTCAGAATATTGGGAAAGTTTTAGGATACAAATATCAAACTAATAATAGCAGAGACTGAAAAAAGTTACAAATCATCAGTATTTGAATATTAACCTCACATATCTCATTTCCTATCATATGGATAACTAACATTTCTGGGTCATCTACTATGTGCTAGTCATTGTTCATAAAAACGTATACTACTATACACTTACAGTAGTATATGTGTGTTATATAATAGTGTATGTGTGTTTTTCTTCTTAGAAAAAAAGGGAGGTACACAGAGCCTAAGTAATTTTCCAAGTTCAAATACCAGTTAAGTGAGACTGATAATGATAACCCAGTCAAGTTTCAGAACCAACATTTTTAACCTCTTTCCTATGATAAATATTTTTCTTATGAGTGTCTGCATGTATTCTCCCCACATCAAAAGCCTGGTGCCACAAGTACTCATTAATCACTCTTCACGTCAGGTAACCACAAAAAGATATTTATTTGTTTGAATTTTGCTCCACGTATATTGTTTACGGTTAATGTCTCCTTTTCCAAAGCAACAATACCTGCACAAACTGACTGTTAAGTATTCATACCAAAAATTCCATTCAGTATTTAACTTAGTTAAGCACATATATTAGAGATTATGTAAAATATTGAGGTGATTTATCTTCAGACAAAATTTTGTGCAGGTCTTTAATATCTGTTCTGTGATAATTTTCATTTTAAAGATATACATTAGCTATAAAAGACTAATAAGATCTGAGAGAATGTAGCTTCATTTACAATCAAGTTATGTTATTCCCTTATGCCTGGGGCTTAGCAGCAACGAAGATGATAGTATTCTATTATCATCTTTGTTAACGGATATGTAAATTTTAACCTGTTCACTAGAGAAAGTTTTCTACTTGAAAAGAGTTATTTAACTTCAACTGGTTCTTAGATTAGCATGGGCATTTCTGATTTCTAGAAGGTATTTCCATGCATCTATTCATACCTTCAAATAAGTTTACTTGGAAATTATGAAGTATTATTTTCATTTTTATTCTTGAAGTCTAGGAATTTCTAGATTCAAGGGTGCCAATATAAATATTTAAATGTTCTTATCTGTATTAACATATGTGTGTGAGATTTTAAAACTTTAATCCTAGTATAACAGAGTTTTTGAAGTTTTTATTATGACCGACAAATTTATCTTTTTTAACATAAAAATATGGGTTTTTCACAGATGTTAGAATATTTGCAATATGCTTTCTAAGGATGGTCAAAGTTAGAAAAGTAACAGTCATATAACTTTCTAAAGATTGGTTAACTTGGAATTGTAATAAAAATACAAATACGGTTTAAAAGAGGAGTAATCATTAATGACTTCACCTAGATTTGTAGGTAAGATTTGCATCTTTGTTCCAAATATATATGAATGAAAAGTGGAGGAAAAATGAGCTGAACACACTTAACAATATCTCTACCATTTTTATAATTCAGCAGCATTAGATATTCACAATCTGTTTATTCAAAATATTTGAAAAAGAGGATTAACACTCACTCATATAAAAAACTTTTAACAATAAATCTGGACCAAAGTAGTCCAGAAATCATCACTAGTTTTTGGAGATGCTTCAGGATCTTGCAAGATCTTAGGGTAAATGAAAGAATTAACAACTTTTAACCACCACTACAAACAGGAAATGCTTAACACATTTGTCTATATGTAATTTATTGTACATCTCAAAAAATGTGCTGCTCATTTATATTCCCATGTATGCAATATTGTCATGAAAAGGTTGGATATTTTTAAATATCATAATGATGGAAATACTAGACTTGAAATCACATTGAAAAAGTATCGCATAAGATAATACTCTTTTAAAATAAATATTATTGAATGAATCTGGATGCTTCCTAGCTAGGAGTTTATGTTTTAGGAAGTTCAGTTCATATTTTATTATCAGATTTTGAACTATAGAAAAGGAAATAAATAATTGCCACCAATTTTGTGAAAAATGGGCTTTTTTAGCAGCCTGTCAGTCTAGAGATTTGAGTAAAAGCTTTAGTAAAAATCATAATTTTTGGTAAAAAAAATGTATTTTTTTGAATCAATTCAGTAATTCTGACAGAAGTTAGAGACCACAAAAAACATTCTTGTTTTATTCTGGTGAAATGAGTGAGGAACTATAATCAGTGAAAACGACATGCTAGCAGAGTAAGAGCTCCAACACTGAAACTAGATCTGCCTGCATTGAATTTTAACTGTGCCATCTTTTGCTAAGTTACTTAACTCTGCCTTAGTTTCTACACCTGTAAAATAGAAACAATAATTACTAACTTATCAAACTATTTTGAGATTTAAATTTATTAATTGATAAATTTAAAGTTCATACAACAGGGTTTTTTTCCAATTAACAAATGAGATATGATTTAATGTGGAAAAAACAGTTCAATATAGAATGGAGGGACATAGTTCAGAGGCATCTAGGAAATATATTAATCAGGGTTCTCCAGAGAAACAAAGCCAACAGAACATCTATCTATCTATCTATTATCTATCTATCTATCTATCTATCTATCTATCTATCTATCTTCTTCCTCTCTTGATTTTGGGAAATTGGCTCACTCAATTAAGGAGACTGACAAGTCCAAAATCTACAGTGTAGACAAGCAGACTGAGACTTAGGGGAGAGTTGATGGTGAAGTTAGAGTCTGAAGGCAGACTTTTGCAGAATTCTGTATTTTTCAGGGTAGATCTGTCTTTTTCTAAGGTCTTCAGCTGATTGGATGAGGCCCATCCACATTATGGAGGTAAATCTCTTTACTAAAATTCTACTGATATAAACGTTAATTCTATCCAAAAAATACCTTCACAGAAACATCTAGAACAGTGTTGGACCAAATATCTTGGTACCATGGCCTGGCCAGGTTGACACATAAAATTAAGCATCACAGGGACTGTCATTTGGACTTGGAGACTCATTGAATGTGAAGTGGTGCAATTTATCAAAAGTATTAATAACAAAGAGAGGCAGTTGTGAGGGAAAAATTATGTTAAATTAGGGCCTGTAGAACTGGGCAGAAGGCAGGCCAAGTCATGTTAAGACCGTGGGAGGATTGCATGACATCCCCAGAGCCAGAAAAGCTTCCAGAATACTAGAAAGGAAACAGAAGAGCAGCTCATGAGAAAGACTGAAAGGGGTTCCCTAGAGAAGCAGGCTAAGCTGAGGGTAGAATGTTGCTGTAGGAGCAAGAGTGGTCAGGATTCTCACTCACGAAAGAGGCCAATTAATACAAATGGAAAATGTGCCCTTAGGTTAGCCACGTGGAAGGAATAATAATGAGGAATTAGAAGAGACAGTAAATACAGATGCTTTTTAAAGCAGTGAGTCACAATATTTTATACAAAGGAACATGGGCCAGAAAGAAGATTTACAGATGAGATTTACTTGGGGATATTTGTAAATTAAGGATAAAGCAACAGTAGATCATAAAAGCTGAAATATATAAGAAATTGAGAGGATATTCCCTACTTCTGCAATAATACTATACAGTCCCTTTACTCTATGGCTTGAGTTCACACTAACCTGTGTTGAGTAAGATACAGACATTACTTAATGAATTAAGGGATGGTTCCTGCCCTTAGTAGAAATACAGTTAATTCGAACTAGAGAAGTACAAACAAGTAAATTAATGAATTCACATAGATTTAAATTAATAAGGTTTTCTTCAGGGAAGAACTGAAAAAAATAGATAAAGCTTTGGTGACAGCTATGTTAAATAATTTGTTTTATAAACTTAACATGATGAAATAGTGGCATTAATTATCTAGCAATGTGACAAGCAACACCATAAAATATCTCAAAGTGATATATACAATTTGGCGATTTTTACTTCAGATTAGGCCATGTAAGAAATGTCTTATCTTGTAGGAGCCATCTTTTAAGAAAACAAAACCAAAACCAAAAAAACTTGACTTAATGGAAGGATGGCAAAATAAATCAGCATTGCTCAGATTTTTTAACCAAATCAAAAATTCAAATTAAATCGAAAGAACAATTTAGTATTTTTAAAATATATATTTAGTAACAGTTTACAAATAATTGCTAAATCTTGAACTTTATAAAACAAGTCATTTTCTCATGTAAAAGATGAAAAAAGTTAAAATCTAAGCATTAATAATTGAAATATTTAATTACCACTGAATATAATTTATATTTAATTAATAAAAGGAACTTGATTCAATATAGAAACAATTTAAATAGCAAACAAAGTGACAGGGACTTTAATAGAATTGTATTGGTGGTCTCCTTCGTAAACCAGTTGGTAGTGTATGGAATAATATAAGAATCAAATGCTATATTCTATTAATAACATAATATCTGTCACAAACCAGAGAACAGTTAAGAAAAAATTGTCCTAGACCACAACAATTTAATATTAGGCCTTTGGAAGAACTTCTTGGTAATATGGAAATATCTGGCAAATGGATGGAATTAATTAGCAAGGGTTGAAAGAGCTTCATAATTTGCCAAATTCCTCTTTGCTAATAATAGCACATGTAATTTAAATGTAGAAGCATCAAAGGCAAAAGATCACTTTTAGGTGTCTGTTGGCCTTTCAGTAATCCCTACCTTTGGAATACAATAGTCTATATAGTTCCATATGAAATCATGTCTTTGGACAAGAATAATTAACCAAGTAGAGTGATAGTTAACCATGTCTGGTTTTAAAAGTATTTAATTTGACTGGTATAGAGTCATATAATATAGATTCAATATATTATTTTCTTCAAATTGTTAATTCAAAATTTTCTCTCATAATATGCAATGTATTCCTTTTTCTTGCATCTCTTCAACTTTTGGCCATTTCAGTGTTTAAAGTGAAATTATATTTTTGAATATTTTACCTAAGTAACTGTTATGAGGTAAATACATAAGTATAGGTATAAAATAAATATCTTTAGCAAATATGTGCAGCATATTAAAGAAACAAATATATAGTGTATACTATAAAGGACATAGGATTTTGCACATTTACTAATAATCTTTAATAATTATGTGTCTTTCATGTACACCATTACTATCCAACTTATGATGTTCTTTCTCTCGGTGTACATACAGTCTAGAAAGTTATGGAGAAGCCTATCTTTCATTAACATAATATGATAAATGTATTTATTGGAGAGTGAAAAGAGGGAATGAAATACATTAGGCAACAGAAGACTGTCTAAGATATCAATTCACAAACAAATCATTGTGTACCTAAATCCGAAATAAGAAATTTGTTGAAGCAAAAACCAAATGTAATCCATCCAAAAAAGGAAAAAAATAGTCACGAAAATATTAAAATTTAAAACGACAGAAAGATTTGAATTTTGATTTCACCAGAATCAGAAACTGGGACAAAGTGGGTAACATCTCCAAATTTTGTTTGAAAGAACAACAAAGAAGGATAAAAGAAAAGAGGACCTACTACAAAGGTAGCTTTGCCGACTAAGACCCAGCAGAGAATAAACACAGACAAGTAAATGTTTTCTTCCCACCACTTTTTTTTTTATTCTCCACAACTCATCCTCCAAATTCCAAAGTGTGGAGAAGAAAATAAGAGGTATGTGTGTAAATATATATTCATAAATAATATTCTAGAATATGTGAATTTGTAAATCTGGCAGGAAATGGTAGTCTTACATGCAGAATTTTGTACTGAATTTTATACTGAATTATCTGAAAGTGTTAGACAATTTAATAAGTGATCTGTATAGGCATATATCCCTATTACAGTATACAATACAGGAACTCAGAAGTACTTTTTCGTGTTTATTCAAATTTTTTAAGAAGTATGGAAAGCAAATTGATATAAATTGCATTTCTGGTTTTCTATAATGCAATAAAAGAAGCTAATGAATACATGCCACAGAGATTCAAAATATATTAAGAGTGTTTCCAGTAACAATGCACCATGAGAGGTAACTAAAGTCAATTTGTGTATGAATTTAACAATTATCATATGTGTCTAATCCTACTAAATGTAATACCATTACAAATATATTATTCAAACAGAAAACCACCCAGGTTCCCTAATCTAATTCCCCATACTGCCTGAGCTACAATTGTAAGCAGTGGGCTTTTCTTTATTATTCCGTAATTTATTTATGATGTTTACAAATATTTATATATATTTTTTAATTTCAAAGACAGAGTCATTTTTACACTAAAGAAGGTAGTGGTATGGGTGGAACTAGCTACCAAGGGAAGAAAGAAACTTGGTTTAAAATGTATAGTAGTGATTCATAAAAAGAGAATGAATCTTATAAATTTGCCTAACTTTCACCAATTTATGTATATAAATTGATTATGAAAGATAGTTATGTGGAAAAAATAATAGGAGCTATCCTGGATCATAAAATGGAAAGAAATTATTTTACTTATCAATTGAAATTGTCTTGTAATTGCTCTAACAAAAATATATTTCTCATAGCCAAGCAGGATTTAATAAAATAAAACAAGATTTACTGAACAAAAGATATCTTAGACTGGGGAACCCTTGAAGTAGAGCTTGGAACAAAGATTTATATGCAAGCTGCTTGAGATTATTTCCTAAAAGCAGCTTGCATATATATCCTTGTTCCATACTTGAAGAACTGAAGAAAGGAGGAAAAGGAGGAAAGGAGGAAGGAGGTAAGGGGGAAAATCTAGTCACTTTGTAATAATACACATTGTTGTGAGCAACTGAGGCTTCATTTCAGTTGGGAGATTCAAAGGAGAGTGCAGAATGTCTCCTAGAATTGCCCACCTAAGGTTTAATGCATCTGCTGCTACCACCACTTTAAGAGTTAAGAGTTGTTCTCAAGGGCATTAATTTCCCTTTGATTTGGGATTACTATGAAGCATAATGAAGTAACACCCATTTACGTCTGCAGCTCAGGAGAAAAGGTGACACAGACAACAAGATGCTATTAAGACCAGGCATCTCAAAACACATGCAGAATTATCCATGAAACCAGAGGTACAATTATATGTGAGGCAAGGAAGATGTATGGTGGGGTAACTGAGGCATCAGATACCGTCTACCACTTACATCATTTTAGTCTTTTATCGCATTGAATTTTCAAATTGATTGCTGGCCTCGTTTTGTATATAGCACAGCAGACTATATACAATGGTCACTGAAACAAACTATAATCTCCACTGTTATATTTATCATTTTTCTTTTTCACCTATACATCCTAGATTTTTTTCAGCCCGGATCAGCAATTCAGCTGGTCTAGCTTGTTTCCATGGTGGGTTGATTTTTCTTTCATCTCACAAAATTAAGCTCTTTGTTGTCTTTCCCTTGTTAGGCTACTGTCATTAAAATTGTTGCTCACCACTGTCACCAGGCATAGAACTGCAAAGAGACAATTCAGTGAATCTCTTAAATTCTGGACAAACTCCACCAGTCCCCCATTTTGTACCAGCCATCCTAGCTGAGCAACCCTTAAAACCTTTCATTAATATGGCATGTCTCTGAATCTTTGTACAGTTCATTTCACATAGACAGTCATTTACATGTCCTAGCATGGCATAATGAATATATACCATTGCCTACTCACTAGATCCAATTTTTCATCATGTAATCATGAAATGTGTGAAATTCTGCAGAACACCAAATTGAGGTACTTCATATTATCTTTGAACAGGCAAAAGTAAAATTAATATATCCTTTAGATAAAATAATTGTTGCCCTCCTATTCTTGTCACAAAAGGCAATTTTTTTCATCTCAACTAATAGTGAAAATGATACATTTGTTATATGTATAGAAGCACACTAAGTTTCCAAGCCTGTTTTGATATCTTTAGGTAAAAGTACCTCATTTAGAACTGCAAAAGTGATTGGGGCTCATGTTTGATTAAAATTATGATAATCCACCATCTTTTGTTACAAACTATCTGGTTTGTGCAAAATCAACACAGTTGAATTGATCATAAAAATACTAGCGACCACATCTCCAACATCCTAAAGGTTTATGATGGTAGATTAATTTCTTCCTGAGATTCAACATTGCTTTATTTGACTATCTTGTCTGCTTGGGATTTCAGTACCTTCCAGTTGGCTTTTCTTATCATCATGGCTCTCACCCCATTGGTCAAGGAGACAATGATATTTGCCAACTACTAACTCATCCCAAGTGGTCAGGCACTTGCACTATTTCTAGAAAGAATAATCTTTATGCACAGTCTAGTGATCAAGTTCTTATCTTAAATTCTAGTATATGCAATCTGGAAGTTAACTTGTCTACTCCACTCCTGTCCGAAAAACAAGTCTTGGTTGTACACACAGATGTGAAAATAAACTGAAGAAAACACTTTCAAAAAATCAGAACACTCAAATCCTAATCTTGGATCTCCACCAAGAGTAGATGTTTGACTTCAGAAAAATCACTTAGACTCTCTTACACTTCAGGGATTCAAACACTAAAATAGGATGCTGGCCTAGATGATCATTCAATAATTTTTATAATATTTCCATTATTGCAGGATGGTATAGGAGATTTTGTCAGTTAGGTATCTATAAATTTCAATGAGAATGTCACAAAACATTGCTAAAATAGAAAAGAGGTGCCAGATATTCAAATATAATTATTGCTATGTAAGAGATTAACAACTAATCCATATTGAATATTTACTATGCTAAACGTTTTATACTGATTATTCATTTCATTCTCTCACCAAAATTTTGAGGTTGATTCTGCTATAATTCCCTTTTACATATGATAAAATTCATAATTAGAGAGGAAAGATATATAATGTGTTTAAGACTTATAAAAAAGCTACTAATTAACAGGAGTATGATTTGAACCACTGCAATCCGTTGCCAAATCTTCTAAACCTTTTGATTATACAACCACTTAACATTATTTTTCTATTAAATAGCCAATTCAGTAAAAATGAAATACCCAAATCAGTTTAAGTAGTTTTTTTATTTGTTCTGATTCCTGATTGATTTGTGATTATTTTTGCTTTGGCATTAGTTCTGCCAGAGTGATGGCTCTGGTACCATTAGTAAGGGGAAAAATTCCTTAATTTGGCATTTATTCAGCTAGTATTATCTATTGTTAGAAAATAGTGACATGAAGCAATTGTACAGAACTTTCTAGAGCTTTATGGTAGAGTGTAGAGATGTTTATTTTTTTTCTTCCAAAAGACTGAGAGAGCAAGACTTTTTTTTTTTTTTTTTTTTTTTTTTTTTTTAAGGAAGCAGTTAGAAGGAAGATCTTTGAAACCTCTCCAGAATTTCTTGATTACTTCTCATCTGGTCTAATTTTTCCCTGATGAGAAGCTGTGCTTGAGAGTAATAAGTACTGCATGAACTAAATACATCACACTTGACTGTCTGCATAATGGCAATGGTGGAAAGGAATCAAATGGATTTAGGTTTCATCAACCTGAAGCTATTGATTTTTCAGCTTTCCATGAGCCGCAAAATGGAGTTAGCAAAAACTACTTTTTGCATTCAAAAGAGTGAACAGCCAGGGAATATAAAGCCATTTTTGAATGTAATGTACATTTCTTTAGCCAGCTTGCAACCCACTTCTAACTCCTTCAACAGAAATAGCACACCTGCACTTCACAAATGTACACGACACAAAGTAGAGAGGTGTTTTGTTAACCCTTCGTTATCCTGCTGATAAATATGCACAGATACACAACTAGCTATATATTTAAAATTCATTAAGCATCAGCAGATCTTATCTTTTTTTAAAAAATAGAACAGGGAAAATTGAAGAAATAATTTTGAAAAATAGGTATATAGTAAAAGATGTGCTTCAATTTAACTCTGCATGTTCATTTAAATATTTTTAAATTCTCATTTTAAAATTATAATTATATTTTGAATAAATTAAATATATTAAATATATTTAGTGAATATATTTATGAATATATAGTATTCATAATATATTATGAATGTATAGTATTCATAATATATCATGATGTATAGTATTCATAATATATTATGAATGTATAGTATTCATAATATATCATGAATATATAGTATTCATAATATATTTATGAATATATTATTTACATATATATTTATGAATATATTATTCATAAATATAATCACAAAATATATTTAATGAGTAAATTAAATATATTAAAATATATTAAATTATATTTTGAATAAATTTGTTCATTTTTGTGATTTAAGAAAAATACTGTATATAAACCAGCAGCAAAATGGTTGTCATTTTCATTTTTGCCTATTTTATTTTTTATGAGTTTTGAAAGGTCAAGAGGCTTTTGTTTTACTTTTTGTTGTCAGGAAATTACAGATAAACCCCAGTTAAGTATATATCTTGTTTGTGAAATTCACGTTTGTCATTTCTTAAGTGTTTTTTTTTCCTGCCATTCTATTCAAATTAGTGTGTCCTTGGAGATAAACAGCACCATTCATTTATTAGTTTCTAGCTTATCACATGAAATTAAACATCAGGATGTGCAGTAATTAGAAATCACCTCACCCTGGAAAATGGCATAATGACAGGGTCCTTGAAATCAGTAGAGGTTAAAGCTGCATGTTTAGAGCACATTTGTATAAACCTAAGATACAGTTCTGATTAGAGATACTGTATGAATGCCACTACAATTAAAAGTTATATTTAATCTAGTAGAAAGAGCTTATTTTAAGACTGTGACCTTAGAAATGCATCTTGTAAGAAAAAGTATCTCAGGCAGAAAATAATGTACGATGCCCTTTCCTCAAACATCTTGAGTTCAACCAATTTTCGATTTCAATTACTTAGTATTAGTAATGATATTAATATATAATGCATATAAGTTATGAGGTACGATGTGCCAATCTAAAGAATTGTGGCAATTGTGAGTTGTTTAAACAGAAAAAACGGTTACGTTATACCACCTTATCATATGGCCAAATAAATAAAGATTTACTAAGGATGAAAAACCTGAAACTACAGAAATATCAGCAAGTGTATCAGCAAATGTTAGTAAGTATTCTTAGACTTTGGGTTGTGAGTGTTCTTTCTAATCATAATGCCAAAGCAAAAATAATCAGGAATAAAACTAACTCAACCAACATGGGACAGAAGTCTGCATTGTAAAAATGTATGTAGAACAACACATAAAAAGAAAATTTACAGAAACCTAATAGTCATTCCTGAAAGAAACTGTAATAGAGCAATGGTACTGAATTCAAGACAGTATCTCTAAGGATATTACAAACAGTACTTCTTAGGTCTCTAATTTTCTCTTTTAATTTTAAAATTACTCATTTATCTCTTCTAATATTGTCTCTCTTTTCCCACTGGCACTTTAAAAAACTTGAAAATATTTCCCACGTTCACAGTTAAATTCCTGGGTGGTGATAGGGCATAAGCGGGGGTGGGGGGCGGGTCTGATTAGCTTTGCTACTGTCATCTATGTTTGGCAGCAGCCTCCACACAAAACCATACTGTGGACTACTGGTCCAGCTACAAAGATTTGCAAGTGAAAAGATTCTACAACATAAAAGAAGTGGAACTTGAGTTCAATGTAATAAGAAAGGTGTAATCTTAATTATATAATTTTAATTTTTGGAGGTGTAACTTTCTGAGAATGTGTCAAAAAGGAGGTTATAATTAAAATAATATAAAATATCAAATTAAACTGAAAAGGAAAATTACTAAAACGCTTGAAAGATTACATCGGAGGAAAAATATTATAAGGAAATTAATACCTCCAAAGCCATATTAAAATAAACTTTATAAATCATGAAGAGCTGAACTAATGCTGCAGAAATAAATAAGAAAACTGAAGAAAAACTTGTGAGCCACACATAGAATGTGGAGGTAACAAGGAGATAAATATATATATATAATATATTTCTAAATTGTATTTAGAAATAACCACAGCTAGTGGAGCAGATGCAATATTCAAGCTAGAACAGATGAAAAAAACAGTGATCTTAAAAATTACTAAAACCTATAAATGCCAATGACTCACTGAGATGTCTCAAAATTGGTAAACATAAATCAACACCCTTAAAAGGTATGTTTTTTGTGTAAAAATAAATTAATATAAAATAATATATACACATCCAGATAGAAAAACCAGCTACTGAAAAGCAAGTAACAAAAAAATTGTTACTTATGAGTACACAAAAATCATATTGGCCGAAGTTTTCTCAACAACAAAATTCAATAGTGGAATACCATTCTAGTTTTTCAACATTAAGAAAATTTTCTAAAGACTAAAAAAAAGAGACTCAAAAATTTGAAAAAGTAACATGATGGTATTAATACAATAAAATATATAAAATATACATCACAATTCACCAGAGATTTAGCAAAGAAACAACTAGAAGACATCACATGAATATTTAGCTACGTTTTGTCTAAATGATTATTATAATTTTGTAAAAATTAACATAAATATTAAATCAGAGAAATGAATTCTGAAAGATGAGGTTAAAAACAAACCACTGAATTTTCTCTAAACATAAATCTAATAAATTAGAATTTAAAAATCAATTTAGGAAGAAGATGGGAAAAGGTAACAAGAAAAAGATGCTCATCTTTTTTTGTAAGCAAAAGATAATGCCAGCAACTACCTCCTTTCAGACAAGGGGATGCTCCTGTTAAATCTTTGGATGACTCTGTCTTCTTACCTTGTCCAGAGCTTTCTCAGGACTTGAACTTAAACCAACATCTTAAGACTATTAGGGAAAGGCCAAGCCAACATTGGAGAACTTGGCCCCTTTTACTTAACTAGTGCTAGCAATGAACTGATTCCAGATTTATTCGTTTGTAAGAAAGATAAAGTATTTTTATATGTAATTGTAATTAAATTTCTAGTTATTCATAGTTAAATGCAATCTCAATTCTCAAAGGTATTACAAGATCTTACCTCATTCTTAAAAGTAATAAAAAAAATCAGATTAGCATAAGCATTTAGCAATTAGCATAGCCATAAAATCACCCTTAGAGAAATTTAAAATATTAGGCACAGGGCCCAACTTTTCTAGAAAGTTAAAAAATGATATAAATAAAACATAGTCCATAAAGTAAAAACAAAACACTAGGAGCATCGAGAATAGAAATCATAAAACAAACAAAACAAAATAAAATGAAAGTTATAAAAGAAATTAAACATTTTAAAAAATAAAACCTTATTGGAATTCAAGATCCATATATTCATTATTGATAAAATGTAAAATGTTGGCAAATAATACATAACTGAGCAAAATTTTATCAGAGAAGTTCAAACAAAAAGATGCAAGACTAATAACAGTAATAAGCAATAAATAATGAAGTATATTTCAAGGCAAATTAAAGAAGTCTATAATTTGGATAGAAAAGAGGCTTTGCTGAACTACATAACTTTAAATATATATGAAGGAAATTCTTTTTTTTTTTTGGAGACGGAGTCTTGCTCTGTTGCCCAGGCTGGAGTGCGGTGGCGTGATCTCGGCTCACTGCAAGCTGCGCCTCCGGGGTTCAAGCCGGTCTCCTGCCTCAGCCTCCTGAGTAGCTGGGACTACAGGCGCCCGCCACCATGCCCGGCTATTTTTTTGTATTTTTAGTAGAGACGGGGTTTCACCGTGTTAGCCAGGATGGTCTCGATCTCCCGACCTCGTGATCCACCCGCCTCGGCCTCCCACAGTACTGGGATTACAGCCATGAGCCACCGCACCTGGCCTGGAAATTCTTATAAATACAAATACAAATTGAAGGAAATACAGGAAAGGACATTAACAAACCACTCACAATCTTTCAAAATATATGTAAATATATATATATATATATATATATATATATATATATATATGTAAGTATCCATACTTCTTATGTAAAAATATAGTTTACATAAAAATAAATAGAAAATACAATCTCTGCTTTTGCCTACTCTCATCAGCACAAACACAATGAGAATATAGAGAGTTGAAAGGACATTTAACATAGCCAAATATGTAGGATAGCTCTTAGTTTTAAAAATTATTCCCTGATCACAGTCATATATTAGATCATGAAGAAAATCTCAGAAAACTCCAATAAATAGAAACTACTTCAGCCACATGTTCTTTCAAAAGGTAATAAAATTATGAATTAATTGAGCAAAAACCAAATAAAACATCCATTTGATTATTAATCAACATTCCTCTGAAAAATTTGCTCAGTTAGGAAATTCTAAAACAACTAGAGATTATTACTGAAAGTGGGAATACTTTTAAGTGCTTTAGGATGTATCCACATTGGCTTCTGAGGTTTATAAAGTGAAATGCTTACATTTAAATAATGAATTAAATTAATTAAACATCAAGTTAAGAAGTTGAAAAAAAAGTAGGATATGATAAATAAAAAAAAAACGAATAGTGGAGAAATAGGCAAGTTAAAGACAAATGTTATCAACTAGAAAAAGAAAAAACCACAGAATAACTAAATTAATCCAAAAAATATTTCTTTAGTAGATATAATCAAAATATAAAATATATAAAGCTTTTACAAGTTTAATTAAATCACCACACAACTAGGAATATTTATGACTAATGATAAAAACACAAGTATGGTTTTCAAATATAGAGAATATTACATCCTTACCAAAATCTTCTAAAAACAAAACATGATTTCAACAAAATAATAATCATAGTAAAATGAAAAGAGTGAAATAAATAACTTTTTAAAATTCTGAACACAGGTGATTTTATAGCAGATATTTTAGGTTTGTGTGGACATTCCAAGTCTGTGCAAAATCTTCCAGAATATAAGAAACATTTTGTTAAAAAAATTTTTTAAAAACATTTACAAACCTTTATATCAAAATCTGATAAAAATAAAAATGAAACTTTAACCTTATTTCGCTAATGCATATAGATGCAAATGTCTAATAAATAAAATACCAGCAAATCTGATCTTAGTTTCCTCAATGATTAATGATTACTTTAAGTATCTTTACTATCAGTTAGGTTTTGATATGCATTACAATCAAATGCATATCAAAATTATGTGCCAGGTCTCCAAAGAGAAAAATGGCCGAATTGAACCACAACTCTCCTTTTCTTCCTTGTGTCTTGTGTGTACTGCTTTGCAGGATGCATTTTTCTGACCTGAGATCATGATAGAAAATGTTATCAACTTTACTATCCAACCCATTAATTACATGTTTTTATTTTATCCATGTCTTCTTGCTTTTTTCTTTTATTCTTCTTAGAGAAGACCACTTTATTAAAGTATGCAATATGTTCTCATATCTTAATATGACAATTAGTCTTGTTTTGTTTTTGCTTTATTTTCTCCTTTCTCCATTGGCTTTCTTTTCTCATTTTTCCACTTTTTGTTAGTTTTGGTCGCTCACTTTTCATGTTGGTGGCTTTCCTCAAATATCGGGTAAGCTTTTACTATTCCATTACATTTAAAAGTGAAACACTTGAAGCTGATTGGAAGCTCTCTGTAAAGGCTTTGTTGATTGAAGCCATTTACTGTGGGATGAGCTGCAATGACTCTGTCTTTCCTTAGTGGTGTCTCCTAATTTCCTGCTGTGCAAATAAATACCAGATTGCTTCGTTTATTCCCAGAATGGGGAAAGGGACCTGAGTTCTGCTTTTCACTCAGGCTGGTTATAGTCCCAAGCCTGGCCCTGTCCTCTTCTATGCTTGTAGTTCATGTACTGAGTTTTCTTAGAAAATAAAACTTTAGTGTTGAGGGATGGATTGGTTGTAAGAAAGGGACCTGGGAGTGAGGAGTCAATATAATACAATACAGCCTCTTACACAACCTCCTGTTTTCAGGTTCCCATTTTAGCTATGTCTTTTTCAATAACTTATGTTCCCAGGAGCTGTGGAAACAATTCTATTTTGTGTCAGGCATGCCCCCTGCAGGTACTTTTTTATAAATCCGCTAAGTGAGGAACCATATTCTCTTTATGTTATTTTCTCTCTTGCTGTATTGGACTTTATAGATTTTTATGTATTTTGAATTCCTATTTTAGTGAGTTTTCATAAAAAGAGGAGATAAATGTCAGTGATCAATCAATGGTCCATGTCTAACCAGAAGCTTCAGAGTCAAATTAGTGAATTAGAATGATGTAATCCTTAAGAAAAGTTTTGATTGTGTAATTTTTGATTATACATAATAAAATTATCATAAATGAAATAAAATTATTTTATGCATTCTATCTCATATAATCATGAATTTATCTACTTTGTATTTATCAAAGACCCTATGTAGTCTAAACATGCTTTTCTTGCATGTGGCTCTAGAATTTAATCCCTATTATATTAAAATCTAGCAGAAACATTGGGAAAGAATTATAAGGTTTGAAATTACTCATGATTTTTTAATCATATTGCTGTTATGAGTTAATTTATTATTAATTTGTGTTTCTTCCTTTAAGTGAAATTTTAAAAATTGCAATTGATTGAATACTCAGTATAGCTGTATTCCATTTCATTAAAAACTTAAACTTACACATCATATCATACAATTTAATTTGAAGATACCTTTCAGCTATATATTCATGATAGGAAGATATTTCACAAGTGCATGCTGTAAAAATTGCTATGGTATTACTTTTTTTTTTGTCACAGAAGCCATATTATTGCTGAGAGCAAATAAGCTTAAACCTCAAAGGATTTACTTCGGAAGTTAAAAGGTCCACTAAGGAAGTGAAAACCCACAATGCTCTAATGGAATTTAAACATAGCAAAACCTCTTCTCCCTCACACTATCATTAACTGCTATGAGGCTTTTTTGATGAAGTTTAAAAAGCTTCTTCAATAAATTCCCATAAGCAAGCCAAAGTAAGGACAAAGTGGTAGCCTGAATTTTAGAGCTATATTTTCTTGTTTGATTTTATTTAATAGCGCTTTATTACTTTTAGCCAGTTTATTGTTTTCTGTCACCTGACCCTTGGAGTAAAAACAGTATTGTCGCATGACTTAATATTTAAAAGTCAATAAGGACACAAGAAAGGCACTGTGTGAGACTTTTCTAAAGACATGCTTGAAATTCACTGACAAATAATCTTTTCTCATTGCTATATGCAGGAGTGTCTTGCTAAACATGAAAAATGGGTTTTTAAGCTCACTTGGTGGGAGTAATTTCAGTTATAAAATGTAAGCCTCTCTTCATAGGAAATTCGTGTAAGATAGACCCAGATCCCTGAAATAAAATGGTAAAGCAACACATAAACATAAAAAGACCAAAGACAAGTTGCATTTTCTTAAAAAATTAAGAATCAAGACCAGCTATTTAATTTTTAATTACCTTTTTTTAGTCACTGTAAGTTTTGTAAGATAAAAAATTGAAACCTTTCAAAGTCATAATCTGTTTTCTAATTTTAAGACTCAAAATCCTCAACTTTAGGTTTCTGGTCCCAGGGCAACTAAAATATTTAAAAATTTTTTAAATGAGGTAAAATTTTGCGAAGAAACTGAAATAACCTTCAAACCCAGTTCCACTAGAAAGGAATACATAAACTGAGCTATACCATGACATAGCACTTTCTACAATTTCTTTCACACACAACTCCTTTCTTCCTAAGGCTTAGGGATAGTTTGAAGATTTAGATTTTCTTCTACCCAGTTTCCTTTACTTCTTCTGGGGTTTAATTTTCCTGCTAGTCCTTCTACTTTAGCTTCTTAATTCATTCAAAATAGTTCAGGTTATGCTGTAGTAACAACTCCAAATTTTCACTGGGTTACCTCAATAAAGATGTGCTTTTGCTCTGAATTTATGGTACCTCCACAGCAATATAAGCTTTCACACTAGCTGCAGCAAGGGAAGAGTCAGGCTGAATAATGGATCATTGCTTTCCATCAGAAATAAGATACCTCACTCCTCCTAACATTAGATTGACCAAAACAGTCACACTGTGTAATTCAAGGGGGAATGATCTGCCTGTAGTCCTTGCTACTTGGGAGGCTGAGGCAGGAGGATTGCTGGAGCCCAGAAATGCAGAAGGGCCAGACTTTGGTGAACAGGGGTAGAACCTATCAAGTTTTTTTTTTCTTTTTACTGGACTATTTTAAGTTCATTAATATAACTTAGAATCATAATTTTCTAATTTTGCTTCTATCATTAGAATCAACATTTTATGATTGGATAAAAAGCAGGAAGAAATGGATATGCAGGGTTTTACATCAAGGAAGAAATAGAAAACCTTTGACTCTGGTCATACCTCTGTTCCACATGCATTCATAAGCTCTTGGTAGTTCAGTAGACCCAGAATACTTTCTATGATTAAGAAACTCAAAAGGATAACTTTCAAATTATTTCAAGAAGAAATGAAAAATTGTATCAAATTATTTTCTGTGGTCTCATATCTATACTCACATATTTTGCTCTGTCTGCCTTACATTTTTCAATGTCAGAAAGATTATTCCAGGAATATTACAGATTTTTTATGTCTCCTAATGTCTATTCTTTCTGCTTGGAAAAGAAAACCTAGGGCTATGCAAATTCATGGTCACAATGTCTCATTTTAACTATGCTTCGCTTACACAGCATTTTAGAACATTAAGAGTTCCCTATGTAGACAAACTTTTAAATAATTTACCCCCTTACCTTTTGAATCATCTAGATTTCACTTTTTACTTGATCATTCCTTCAGGCTACAGAGGCCCTCTAGATTCCAATATTAACAATAATTTCCTCTTGTCCTTGCATACCTCAAACTAATATCTAAATTATCTGCTTTTCTTCATAGCCATTTGAAGAGTTATTTTTCCATCTCCACTTCTTCGCCTTTTATTCACTACTTGTTATATTATTTACTATCTTTGTTTTTGTAGGAAAATCTCATTTAAAATTCACAAAAAAGAAAGCAATAATTTCTCATATTTCTCTTACCCCAAACCATCATTAATATTTTGTTATTATTGGTACCATTGTCACACTGAAATGTGTTTGTTGTTTCTGCATCACTCTGCCATTCTTTTTGTGTGTCAAATAAAATTTCCATATATACATGGGTTTATATCTATGCTGTGGTTCTATATCTAGGCTTTCTCTTTAGATCCTTTTCTCTATGTGTTTCCTACTGTGCTAACCCTCTCCATGTTAATTACTATAGCTCTATAGCTGCTCTGAGGATCTGGAAGGGCCAGTCTCTTCACATTGCTCTTTTTTTCTAGAATTCCTTTGCCTATTTTTGATCATTTGCTTTTTGATGCAAACTTTAGAATCAGACTGACAAATTAAATGTAAAATGTAAAGTTAAGTGAAACAAACCATACTGAGAATTTTACTAGAATTGCAGCCACTTTGTTGTTTGTATCATAAAAATGTTGAATTTCCCAACCCTTGAAATAGTTATATTTCTATCGATTTTAGGTTTTCTTTAATATCATATAGTCAAGTTTTATAATTTGCTGTCTACAAAATTTACACACTTAAAAATATTTACTAATAATTGTATAAGGAATCAATGTTGAATTTTCTTGCATATTTTCCATTTTTATCAAGATAATATAATCTTAACCTTTTCATTTAACATGTTGAAGTATGAATTACTTGAAGCCTTTTGAATTATAATACATTTTTATTATTATTATTTTTTGAGATGGGGTCTCCCTCTGTTGCCCAGACTGGAGTGCAGTGGTTCAGTCACAGGCCACTCTAATCTCAAACTCCTGGGTTCAGGCAATCCTCCTGCCTCAGCCTCCCAAGTACCAAAGACTACAGGCACATGCCATCACACCCAGATAATTTTTTTTCCTTTTTCTTTGTGTATAGATGAGGTCTCACTATGTTGCTCAGGCTGGTCTTGAACTCTTGGCCTCAGGTAATCCTTTGGCCTTGGCTTCCCAAAGCTCTGGGATTATAGCATGAGCTACTGTGCCTGGCATGAATTACATTATTTTTATAGATGTTCACCCCATGTAAAAGCCACCTTGTGAATATAAATATGCAGGGTGAATTTTTCTCTTCATTTATTGTCAAGGTTAAGATTTTTAAATTCTCCAATCAGTTCCTTTCTGTGCAATGGGGTTTAATTTTCATTAAACTGTAGGGGTTTGCTTTATGTAACTCAATTCTGAATCTTGGGCAGGCTCTGAGTTTTATCTTCTCTCCCTCATACCCCATTATGTAATGAGGTTCATTAAAGCAAAACCTCAAGTTCCCAGGGTTTGTCAGAAAACCCTCTGGCTGAAAACAAGCTTTGGTGTTCACTTACCTCCCAAGGTTCCTGCTTTAATTTCATTTTTAATCACAGTGTATTTCTTACTTTTGTGCAGCTCAGTGATGCATTAAAATTGTTTTCAACTTTTACCCAGCATTTGAGTTGCTTTAATCAAATCCAAAGTATCATTCTGATCTTTAATCTGCCATATGCCAGATATAGAACACTATGGACTGAAATCCATTCACATCTGGTTTTTAACCACAAAACCACCACTAACACTATTTTTGTCAAAGATCATAACCAAACATACAGAACTTGTTTAGCCCTTACTTGCCCAGAAAAATTTCTGATTTGGCTACTAGCTTCTTCTTGGTGCACTTACTTCACTTACATTTTATAACAAAACACTGTTGGGTTTTTTTTTGTTTTTTGGGTTTTTTTTCTTGTTATTATTATTATTATTATTATTATTATTATTATTATTATTGGTATTTCTTTTGCTGCTCCATCTCAGGCTTTATTCCAGACACTAAATGTCAGAGAGATTGAATCTTGGGGGTAGACCTTGGGCATTTGCTCTTTACAGTTTCTTCCTACATGAGCTCACATATTCTCAAGGCTTTATATAGCAACTATATCCTGACAGCCTCCAAAATATATCCCCTACCCAGACCTCTTTGAAGTCTCAACTGATTAATGCAACTGTAAACTTGATTCATCCATATATAAGACTTTCAACTACTTATCACACTTATAATTGAACTCTGCCTTTTCTGAAAGTGATTTGTTACTAAGTTCTTTCTCAATAAATAAAAGGAATATACATACATTCAAGTGAACAAGCCAGAGACCTAGAAATCATTCTAAATTACTTTCTGTTCTACCTTGCCCAACCACCACCTTTCCAAATTAAGTTCATCAGCAATTGCTATCAAGTCTACATACAAAAAAAAATCTCTGTCTCTGCCAAACCATTGTTTGCGCAGGGTCCATAATTTCTCACATGAACTCAACCCAAGTCTTTTAACACCTCACTCATCCCTGCAAGCTAGTCTTGATACAGCAGCTAGAGATGTACTTTAAATCATAAATTAGATTATGCTCCCACTAATTAAAACCACCCTATTATTTGTGCAAGAGAAACAAAACCTATCTTTCTTACCATTTCCAAAGAGCCCTTAAGGCTATGATTATGTGATTTCTACCAGACTTCCCATCCTCATCTGGTATAATATGTCCTCAGCAAGTCCCTGAATATACAAGCTCGGTGTGACTGAAAAGGTCTTTCTCCCACTAAGCAAAGTTAGAACAAAAGGCTTCAGCTTCACTACCACAACCTCAGAGAACAGATTCAACACCACCCACTGTCCTATTCTTTTCCTGCCCCTCTGCCTACCCTCCATTATTCTCTTTCAGAAGTTCGCTTCTATTTCATTCACAATACTTGTTTCAATTTCCAAGTTTATGTCCATTTCTTGATAATTTGTTAATTGCCTATTAGATAATACATTCTAAGATGATATGGCCTTGTATATTTTATTTTCATTATTCCCAGTACAGTATCTGATACTTCCTAGTTGTTTAATAAGATAAAATATTGTGTGTGTGTGACTGTGTGCGTGTGTTAACTGGAGAGGATACATTTTATACTAATTTATAACATGCAATCAGAAAAATATGAAAATCTTAAATGTTCTAATGTTCTTTGTTCACATGTCATCATACTCAATTAATAATTAGCTGTTAAATCAATGAATGCATATCTAAAGTTTACAGCTTTAACTATCAGATTTTTTTAACCATTCATAGTCTTTTTAAATATATAAGTATGCATTTGGTATACTTGATATATACCCAACAGATAGATATACATAAATCAATAAAAACATATGCACAAGTGTTCATAGAAGTTTATATATTAGAATTCAATAACGAGAAACAGCCCAAATGACCACCATAGCAGAATGAATAAATTGTGCTTTATCTGTAAAAGTAAGAATCATGTAGTAATGGCAGTACACAAATTGCTGCTATGCAAAACACAAAGGCTCAGTATCAAATTTGTATTATTCAGTGAAAGAACCAAGACATAAAAGGAAATATACTATATGATGCCAGTTATGTAGAGTTCAAAAATAGGTAGAATTAATATATGACAGAAGTTAGTATAGTGGTTGTTTGGAGAGTAATAAGAGAGAGCATAAAGGAGGCTTTAGAGATACTATAATATTCTATTTCTTGAATATGTGGTATGTGTTAAGAAATGAAAAACCATTTAAAAAACCAATGAAGACCATTATTTCCCAATTCCATTGCAGGCTAAACTTTGTTATATCAAGGAATAAAATTACTAGGTCACATGTTCTACATCAGTGGATACCACCAAAGAATTTTCTTTTTTTGAGATGGAGTCTCGCTCTGCCGCCAGGCTGGAGTGCAGTGGCGCGATCTCAGCTTACTCCAACCTCTGCCTCCTGGGTTCAAAAGATTCTCCTTTCTCAGCCTCCGGAGTAGCTGGGACTACAGTTGCGTGCCACCATGCCAGGCTGATTTTCTGTATTTGTAGTAGAGACAGGGTTTCACCTTGTCAGCCAGGATGGTCTTGATTTCCTGAACTCCTGATCTGCCCACCTCAGCCTCCCAAAATGCTGGGATTGCAGGCATGAGCCACCGCGCCCGGCCTGCCAACAATTTTCTAAGTTATTTTTACTATTTTGCACTCTCACCACCTGTATGCGAAAAGTTCATTTACTCCACATTCTTACTAGAACTAGGTATTGTCTCTCTTTTAGATTTAACATTTTGGAGACTGTGTGAACAATGGCATTGCCTCTTAATTTGCCTTTTTTGCCGTTAGTGAGATTGGGAATTTTTCATATGTTCCTTGGTCCCTTTTATAATGCCCATTGAAAACTTTCACCTAGTA
This sequence comes from Homo sapiens, assembly GCF_000001405.40. Lineage (NCBI taxonomy): Eukaryota > Metazoa > Chordata > Mammalia > Primates > Hominidae > Homo > Homo sapiens. The sequence continues at coordinate 115,227,413 of NC_000004.12, read as the reverse complement.
TTTTATGGAGCTTTTTACATTGTCGAATTGTACACGTTCTTATATATTGTGTATATAAGCCTCTATCAAATACATGCCTTGCAAAGTCTCCCAGTCTATGCTATACCTACTCACATTTTCCGTGGTGTGTTTTGATACATAGAAGGTCTTAATGTTAATGTAACCCTATTTCTCTTTCTGTTTTTCCTTTATGACTAGTGCCTTTGTGACCTAGTTAAAAAATTTCTGTCTAATCCTAGGTCATGAAGGTACTCTCCTATGTTTTCTTCTGGAAGATTTATTTTTCTGTCTTTCACATTTACATCTATTTTCTGTATGGAATTAAATTTTTAATATATTGTTAAGTAGAAGGCACAGTTGATTTTTTTCTTACACATGTATTCAGTTGACTCATGAGTATTATTGAAAAGACCATTATTTCCTAATTATATTACAGAATGAACTATCAGGTGATTATTTTTGTCTGTTTCTAATTTTTATTCTTTTCTATTAGTACATTTCTCTATACTTATGCAAGAAAACAGTTTTTAAAATTACTGTAGTTATACATGTCTTGATGGTAATAGTTTAAGTCCTTAAGCTTTGTTATTTTCTTCAACATTATCTTTGTTAGTTTTTGTATGTTCTTCTTACTAAGACACAATTTGCATCCACTAAAATGCAAAAAGCTTAAATTTTTAGTTGGATGGGTTTTGGTAACTGTACAGATGTATTTTAGAATGACCCAAAACAAGAAATAGGGGCTGGGCATGGTGGCTCATGCCTGTAATCCCAGCACTTCGAGAGGCCAAGGGCCATGGCTGGCAGATTGCTTGAGTTCCGGAGTTCTAGACTAGCCTCGGCAACAGGGTGAAACCCCATCTCTATAAAATAAAATAAAATAAAATAAAATAAAATAAAATAAAATAAAATAAAATAAAAACATATAGAGAATTACTATTTTACTTACTGTATCATTCTGTTGCAAATTCCAGTATCATACTCAAAATATTTTAGTTTGGGAGGCCGAGGTCAGAAGATCCAGACCATCCTAGCTAACATGGTGAAACCCCGTATCTACTAAAAATACAAAAAATTAGCTGGGAGTGGTGGTGGGCGCTTGTGGTCCCAGCTACTCGGGAGGCTGAGGCAGGAGAATGGTGTGAAACTGGGAGGCGGAGCTTGCAGTAAGCCAAGATCATGCCACTGCGCTCCAGCCTGGGCGACAGAGTGAGACTCCAGCTCAAAAAAAAAAAAAAAAAAAAAAAATTAGTACATATGTCTTAAACAAAAGGATTCTTAAAAACATAATCACAATCCCATTATCACTCCTAAATTATAATTCCTTAAAATGTAAATATTTTACATTTTAGACTTCATAAAAAAATCATGCTTTCTTGACTTAGAGGATGAGTTCTAGAAAGTTAAAGCCAGAGAGATTCCATACATACAACACATTTAACTTTTCTCAAGGTCAGTTCCATTGTGGTTGTAATGGAGACTTTAAATATTTGCCTTTTTTCAATCATAACATATTATAGTGAGACAAAACATATGAAAACTTCATAAAATGCATACAATCCTAAAATTCAAAATACGTATAACAACAATTATCTCTGCCAAACTCCTCAATTTATATAAGCCAAGTGAAACCAAAGGGGGGGTTCAATTTGAAATATTTGGAGACTTGGTACAGGGTCCTGGATTCTGTGAGTTCCTGCAACCCTCTTTACTAATGCAGTCCCTCCCCTCTCCTCTCCATGGGCAAAGACATCTTTGGTGAAGGACTCTTTTCTGCACCTCCAGACAGATCTCTTTTGAGGCTGCCTATGTCTACTACTTATTTTCCTGCTTTCTGACCATTTCTAAAATCAAGCTCATCATGTTTCCCTTATCTCATTTTCCCATCTTTCCTCAAATATCTCTATTTTTTCAGTGATACCAACATTTGCTTAGTTTACCCAGATAGAGAACCCTGATGATGTTAACAACATACCAGGCCATGGTTCTCCTTTCTTTGTAATTCATCCTCCTTGGATTTTGCAACATTTTTTGAGTCTGTAGATTTATGTCTTTTGTTGGTTTTGGTGAGGTTTTGGCCATTATTAAATATCATTCTGATGTGTTTTCTTCATTCTCTCCTGAAACTCCAACTGCAACTAAAGTAGACATTTTACTTTTTCCTCATGAGTTTTTACTCTCTTTTCTCTGTATTTTGTTCTTTACCTTCCATGTGTTAGTCAGAATATTTTTTATTGCCCTTCTCTTCCAGTCACTTAACCCCTTTTGCTCTGTACAATTTGCTATTTAGTTTATCTTTTTTGTTCCTAAGTTTTTTGATATTTTGAATTGTAAAAATTATATCCTTTATTTTTATAGATTCAGATTCTCTGGTGAAATTCTCCATTATATCATCTGCTTTCTTAAACTTAAATCACACTTATTTTAAAGTATGTTCCTAGTAAACACAATATCGAGGTTTTCCTTCGGTTACATTTTATGGTCATTTATTTCTCTTGGTATTGTCTCTTGGTATGTTGGGTACTTTCTCATTGATTGTGGGACAACTCACATTTATAATTTCAGAGTCTCTAAACAATGTTCTCTTCTTCTAGTCTTTCTTTTTTTGAGTGGCTAGGATGAGGCAGATTACCATAATCTAGTCAAGAGCTGAGATAACTCACGCCTTTACCAAGAGTCCTTCTTCTTGATATGCCCTTTATGTTTTTCTCTTTTTAATATTATCTCTTTCACACTTTAAGATTGTCAAAGAATTTTGTAATATTCTTGAGCAACTATCTGTTTAGTTTTTTGCTTCTACTCCTGTGTAAATTAAGATTTCAATAAATGCTGCAAGAGGAAAATCACAAAATTTTGTCTTCTCTATGCTTCACTTTTTCTGAGATCTTGGTATGTAAGGTTTGGCTGCCATTGCACCCTTAAGCTCAATTTTTCTCCCCAGTCTTATGAAATTGACGAAAGCTCTACTGGCATTCTGGCCTCTCAATAATAGTTCTATGTCTGACCTCACAGCCTTTCTGTCGTCCCTAAGCATCAACAAATACACTGAGTTTAGCTAGTACATCTTGCAGAACATCAGCCCACCTCTGCTAGGCTCCCTCAAATCCTGGCTAGCAACTCTAGAGACAGATGATCCCATCATATTTTGTCTGGTTTCATTTTTTTCTGCAAGCTACTTCTTCATATCAACAAGCAGAAATCAACTCTAAAACCTGTTGATATTATTGCTTCTGATTTCTTATGAACTGAGAGGTAAAGTAGAGGTAAGAAGTTTGGATTGTTAAATAGAACTATGTTAAGTGTTCTATTGTCAATAAAATAAATTAGATTTTAGGAAGCATTATGGTTATTTACAGTATTTTTACCTTATTTTTTTCTTGAGTATATTCTCGATAGGTAAGGTTGACAGGTAAGAAAGATATACAATAGGTCAAATTGTAAAACCTGTAAAGAGGAATTATTTTAAAAATCTAAGCTCATTTATAGTAAAATATATGATCTCCAGTTGCCTTTATTTCCTTTTGATTATATTAATAATATTTTCAACTTCATATCAAAACTAAAGTAACTACACATACTTTAATAATATAAAAATGTAGAATACTTTCTACAACTGCTTTACATTAAATTTCGAATATTTTTTCTTTCCCCAGTTTTAACCTTATCCTGTAAGATTTTCAAGACCCAGAATATGACACATGTATTTAGGTTACTTCTTCTGACTGATTTTCTCTTTTTTTTATTGGCCACTTATTGAAATACAATTTATTGTTCTAAGTCCAGCTCAGTGCCACTTATTTTTGTTTTATTCCTGTCCTTATATAACTAATATAAAAGACACTATACTTACATACACAGATTAGATAGGGAGGGGATGCATCACTGAACATAGTCTTTCTTGTTAAATGGACCTGTTTTGCATAGGCCCTCATGGCATTATCCCCACAGAAATGTGTTTGCAACACAGTACTGGTATTTACAGCATAGCAAACTTGCAATTGTTAGTTTGTTATCTTCACTTTCAACTGTCTCTTACATGATTCTTTTGCCATACTCTCAAGTTGCACTAAATTTCCTGATACTTTTTATAATATGAAAACCCATTCACCAGTTCTAAGTTGTATGATAATCTTTGCCATCTTTTTTCTCAATCACTTTCTGAGGCTTTTCTGATGGAAATCTATATGACTTCCAATTTCATATCATGTGTGATATGTCTTTTATTTTTTTGCAGCTAGTTAAGCACTATCACTTGCTTTCCTTTTGTCAGTCATGATCAAAACTGTTAACCAAAACGAAAAGTAAATGGCAGATAAAGTTTAGACTGATGTAAACCACACTTTATAATAAACTCAATGAAAGCAAGCTAGATCAAATATTGGCTGAGAGAGAGTACAGAACAGAACTCAAATAAAATTACATATTGTACTAAAATAAATTGTTCTGTTTTAGTATATGCAAAATTATAGAAGCATTTCAGAAACAAATAGCACTATAATAAACCAGCAGGGTGGTATAAATGACACATCTGTGTACAATACTTGGCATATCCATCAATAAATGTTTAACACATTTCTGAAAGTTATTTTATTTTCCTTTAGGTATAATTAGAGCTTTATCAATTTCTGCTCATATCATTTAAATATTGTTCTATTATGATTTCAGCTTGGGAGTTCTGTGAATTCAGGAATGACAACTGGCTTGTTCTCTTTGTGTCCAGAATGCTGTTTAGTGTTGTGAACCCTGAATATCTGAGGTCTCAGTTAATTTGGAAAGTTTATTTTGCCAAGGTTGAGGATGCATGCCCCGTGACACAGCCTCAGGAAGACCTGACGACATGTGCCCCAGGTGGTCAAAGCACAGTTTGGTTTTATACATTTTAGAAATACATGAAACATAAATCAATATATGTAAGATGAACATTGGTTTGGTCCAGACAGGCAGGAAAACTTGAAGCAAAGGCGGGACAACTTGAAGCAAAGACGGGATAACTCGAATCAGGGAGGGGGCTTCCAGGTCATAGGTAGATAAGAGACAAATGGTTGCATTATGTTGAGTTTCTGATTAGCCTCTCCAAAGGAGACAATCAGATATGTATTTATCTCAGTGAGCAGACGAGTGACTTTCAATAGAATGGGAGGTAGGTTTGCCCTAAGCAGTTCCCAGCTTGAGTTTTCCCAGTAGCTTAGTGATTTTGGAGCCCAAAGATTTATTTTCCTTTCACAGAGTCTGACAGAGCCTGTATCTTCTTTAAGTATTTACAGATAAGATAAGCAACATACAGCATTTCTTCCCTAAACTAGGAATTCCCTAGGCCTTGAAAAGGGCTTGACCAATGATAATAGATGTTCAACTATTATTCGTGGAATTCACTATTTCAAATAACAACAATCTATTGAGTATTTATTGTCTGGCATAAACTATGCTGTGCTGAATAAAAATCGCTATGAGCAAATTGAGTGTATCCCCAACTACCTTTCCATCCACATATTCTCTTCCTTCCTCAGCCCACGATTTAATATTTTTCTATTGAGAACTCAGGACTTAAGTTTAAGAAAACTATGAGATAACATGTATGTCTCTTGAAAATCATTTATGTGTGAAGCTTTTATTTATTCCTAATGCTAGGCACAATTGTCTGTGTATTGTTTTGTTCCCCTCTCCCCGCCATGCTTATCTTCCATTATAAAAGTTCTGAGGACATAAGTTCTTAGAGGACGACTGGGGAGAAGATTGAATGCTCAAGGTCCAAATTTGCATCATACAGTTTCTCCCTCCTTGGGAATTCTTCCTACTTGGAAACAATTCCAATCTCTGAAAGATATTATTCAGGAATTCAGGGATGTGTATTTGAATATAATCTTATGTGGGGATGATTGGAAGAAGTAAGAAATAAGGGCAGTAATTATACTGAAATATCAAGAAAATGATATTGAAAATTCAAATAGGATCTTAGATGATACAAATATATAAAAGAAATAATTTTCTAAAAATCTGAAGTTAAGGCGACCAGCTCTTATGTCTCAGATTCTTTCTTGCATTCATTGAGTAAACATTTGTTGAAGACTTACCAAATTCACAGTAGCTCACTAAAGATTGTGAATAAAATATGAAATAAAATACAATCCATGGAAGACATAGTCTAAGAAAGCTCATCATTTATCAGGGAGCCAAGAAAGCTAAAAAACACCTAGTGTATAATTGATAGCTGTTGTATATATTCAGGTTGTTCTAATACCGTATCCAAGACAGAACAATTCATTTCCTCAGTGAGGTTAGGTACATCTTCACGCACATAAAACCTGAATTGTCCTAAAGAACAAATAGGAATTCATCAATCAGACAAGAAAGAGAAGAAAATTTCAGGCAGAAGGAATAATATGTAAAAAGGAAAAAATTCTTGAAAATGAACAAAGTTCTCTGGGAAAAGATTGGCATCTAACAAGGCTACAGCGGACTGGAGGCAGGGCATAGGATAAAGAGAATTTGCAACATTATGAGCTAGGAAAGAAGGCTGGAAAAGATCCTGGAAAGTCTTAAAGAAGCTGTACACATTGCCATCAAGATTGTGTCATGTCTTGAATTGGGCATGGGAGTGGGCATCTCATTACCAAAAGAATGCATGTTTATTGGAGACAAACAGTGAATAGGCTGAAGCACTTCCTTTAAGCCTATATACACAAAATACATAAAAGGTATTATTTTTATTTAAAATAAAACATATTCAGGGTATCCACTGGAAACCATACAGTCATGGGTTCTTAGTTTTTGTTTCTGGTTAGACCCGTAAAGCCCCTTCCTTATCCCTGTTTTCCACTTATCACTAGAGACAGAAATGAAAAACCGTGACTTCAGGCTGCTGAAAGCCTAAAATAAAAATTAAAAAAAAGAACAAAAACAAAATATAAGGAAGGTTGGACAAGCTTGCAAGTTAGATAATAATATAGATTCTCTTTGGTTTTATATAATATATTCATATCAAAGAATGCTTTTACAACATCTCTTAAATACCCAAATCTGATTCTCTTGTGCTTACATTCAAGGATTTTCTTTAAGAAAAAATGGTATGACTAGGTCTACATTAGAAAATAATTCTTGTAATTTTGTGGAAGAGATGTAAAAAAGCAGAAACTGGGAACCAGAAAAAGGGCAGGAATAGAAAGATAGTTCACAAGCAATTCTGGTATAATTATGAACAGATGAGAGGCAAGGTATGAGAGAGAGAGTGAGTAGTAAATGGTGATTCAGGGGTTTTAGCAATGTGAGGACAAAAGAGAGAGCAGGAATGAGAGTCAACAGAATAGTAGGCACAGATGGGGATGTATCAGAAGGCTCCACGTGCCTCCAACTATCATACAGTAAAAGCACATGTGTAAAAATGAACCAAAATGCCAAAGCAAACAAAAGAAAATACACTCTTTGTAATTATATATATATATAAATTAAGATTGCTTATTGCTATTTTTACTGAATATTAAAGGTATAGTAAAATCAACAATATGATTATACAATGTCATGAATTACTTTATATTTATTGAATTTCTATTTTTCCACTTAGTGTCTCATCCTAGTGCCACTCTGATTAAAACAAACATAGTTACCAGGACAAGAGGACCTGGAGGACCTCTTCTTCAGGAGTATAAGGAGTCCCTTATTTTGTCAAATGCAACAGATCCTCCTGACTGTTCTTTGACATGTGTGATTAATTGCCAAGAGTCACTTACTTCCTCACTCGTGTTGCTCCTGCTCTGCTCTCCAACTGCCACACTGCATCTCTCAGAAGAATTTAAATGTGCCTTTATATTTAAATTTCATTCTTGTGATCAGGCTGAACCTGTCATACACCTACCATCTTCACCTAATAATAGGCAAGCCTTAGTGAGTACTAGGACTCCTACTGTGTATTCAATACACTATCCATTGTGTGAAAATACTGATGTGTCTCCTGGAGCCTGCAGGTATGCATACATTTATTTGCTCTTACGTCCATTTTCCTTGCCATCTGACAGTTTTCATCAAACACAGTGTTTGGTTAATTAATCTTTGCTCTGCTTTCTTTATTTATATTTTTACTTCAAATAGAAAAGCATGAAATTTAAAAACAAATTCCAGCCCTTGAGATTCCTGTAACTAAAAAGTACATAAGCCAAAATGTAGTCAGGTAGACAGTAGACTGGTAGCCAGTGTGAAGTCAAGAGTTACTAATGTTAAAAGGTACCTCGGAACAACATATTTAGCAAATTTTCAAAATAAAATATCTTTAAAATTAGCCAACCCATCTTAAAACACTTTACAGAAGGTTGAAAAAATGAATGTTAGTTGGATATACTTAATGTTTGTGAAATTATTTCTATTAATGATAGTTAAAATAAGTTAACATAGCATGTTATTACAGTGCTTTTTATTTGATACCGATATTCTCACTTAATTCAAAACAACAATATTCATATTTTTCAAAACTCCCATTAAATTGTTATGTAAGAAAATTGTGTTCCTCCATTTTTATACCTAGATATGACATTTTTCTGATCATTTCGCTTTTTAAAAAAAATAGTGAGTTCAAGTGAAGGGCTGAATATGGAAGAGGCACCTCTGCTTTCATGTTTTTCATTTATTTCCTTTATGGTAACCTTTTAAAACTAAGTTTCACACATTCATTCCTTTGTGTATACTTCCTGCCACTTGTCCAGGAGTAAGCCATGGAGTCAGTGATGAACGTAAATAATGATCTGTCATTCTCCACAAGAACACCCGGTATTCTCTCTCGAGAGCTCCTACTCTGAATTCTGCAAGGAATCCCTCCTGTAGCTCCTATTTCTCTGCTCAGCCAGTATGAGAGGTTGAATAAAGGAAGGATTTTTTCCCCTCTGCTTTCACAGCAGCACAAATTCATATTAATCTCAGCAAAGAAGAAAAAGTGTTCATAGTGATAAATTAGCTGCATTAAATACTCTGAACAGATTCAAATATAGTGTTCATAAATCTATTCAAATTTAGCTATTTTCATCCATACTGTTTCCATCAGCTCAGATCATAAAATTCTTGAGTCGCATTATTTTTTATGTTAATAAAAATAAAGTAGCCACTGCCAAGAAGTTTATTCAGGTACCTTTCTCAAACTTCAGATACATTTTTTTTTACTTACCTATGCATTTATCTAGCCATTCACCTATCCATCTATTCAATCATTAATCACTTTTCTACAAACATTTATTTTTAAGTGTTAACAGAAAAATAATATAGCCAGTATTGGGGATTGTTAGATAATGACAAAAAATTAATTGCTGATAATTTCATTTACATTCCAGTTTTCACAATTTTAAGGCTTGCTGACATTTCACTTAATTGTGTATATTCCTAATATTCTTTCTGGGAAGATGCCTCAAATTAAGAAAATTTATTTATGTAGAATCAACTGTTTTTCTAAAAAATAATTAAGAAATTTAATGTTAGATGTTTGATCTTTTAGATTTTCCTTTCTCAGAAAAATAAATGTTTGTTAAAGCTTTGCAATTTTAATTTTTATAGATATATTTTATTGAACAAATTGGGTTTTTAGAGTGCAGTCAGAAAACAAATCCATTTCCTTCTTCCTCCTACTCATTTTAACCTACTCTGTAAGAATGGAACTTTCCTGCCTTAGATGGAATTTTTGACACGTTCTTTAACTCTATTGCTTGCTCTTCTGTTTTCATTCAAATGAGAAGCATCTCTTTCAAGAACTTTGTTTGAAATAAATCTTGTCCTTTTTAACGATCAAGCTTTCCAGATGGGAAGTTTGCAGAAGGATATGGCTGAATGCATGATATATTTTCTATTTTTTGCCTATATCTGTATTCTTCTCCATCTCTCACTAGGCTGCCTTAAGCTGTTCCAGGATTAAAGGAAGTGGGGGATTAATGAGAAAAGAGGTAAAAGGTAGGAATTTTATTTTTGAGAGTGACTGATATTATTTGGCATTGAATTTCTCTGTGCTTTGCTGGTCTTTAAAGCAAACTCTGTCTTGAAGCATGCTCTTCTGAGATACTTTTAATGAAATAAGGGATGCATTTTCCCTTGGTTGGTCATATATAAGTTCCCCATCATTCCCTGATTTTGTTATGTTCAATTTATTGAGCCTTTCTCTGTTAGAATTCCCTTCTTAACCACACTCCTGTCCCTTTTAGGCAAAATCCCTTCAATGATGCTCTGATTCAGATGACTGTCATCTACTGTGAGAACATCCTTCGTTCTGGTAAGCTCTGAAATTCAGGTTACTCCTTTCAATTTTGTAATTAGAAAAGGTAATCAGCCACCCTCTTTTTCCAAATGCATATCTGGCACCAATTTCTATCTTCCATCCCTCTAGAGAACTGCAAGTAAATGTATTCCTAAAGTGTGTGTGTGTGTGTGTGTGTGTGTGTGTGTGTTACAGTGAGGAAAAATTCTCACTCCTACCTCAACCATATTACATAGTTGTTCCAACTTACTTTATAAGCTGGAAGATACACCACCTTCTTAATAAATCCTACTTGGGTATTCCCCTATCTAATTTTCAAATATGGTAGTAGTTGTCATTTCCTGGGAAGAGAAAAGGACAGGTTCTCACCTGAGTTAGAAATAGTTCTTATTTCAATAGCTCTGTTACATTTATGACACTTCTTCCATACTGGTACATAAGAGGGCATTCATAAAAATTGTTTTCCTGTTAAAAATGCCAGCATAAAATTTAAAACTGGCATTTTAATGCTTTTCACTCAAGCACCATTTCTGAGAGTTCTTACTTACAGTGTATCTATGTTGATTAGTCTTTGACAGGGTTCCATATTACGATTTGAGGGACCTATAGTTTCATGCTGGCAATTACAAAATTTTTAAACCCAGAAACACTTTCACAAATATCTACTTTAAAATGTGGAAATAGGTTTATATTATATTAATATAACTTAAATTAGTCAATAATAATAAAGGAAAAAAGAGTTTTTATGTTGTCTAGATTTTGGCTCACCAGGACCCTATAGGAACTAGCTGCCCAGTGCTCAACTAAAGGAAAACCTAAATAAGTAGCAAATGCAAATAATAGAAGTCTAGGAATCTCATTAATTATGAAAAATTATATAAAAACTAAAATATATAAAGCACAAAATTATTCAAGAAGCATATTATAAGGAATTTGTAAGCTTTCACAAATGTTTTATTCACACTGTTACTCCCTTGATTCCTTCCCTCTGGGCTACTCTCTCATGCTTAAGATACATAGGTCTGCACTTTGAACAATCGTATCTAAATGGAAACTCAAGAATGCAAATAAAACAATGTGATTGGAATTTTGTGGCAAGCCCTTTTTATTACCTAAGTATACTCAGTAAACTCTCTGGCTACCTTCATTCACCGCTTCCTTTTATTTGACTCAAAGCAAAATTGTAATTCCCAATAACTCAACCTTGTCCAAATTCACTTCTCTCCAGTTAAGTACCTAGCCCGATGCTATTCTGATAGTCATCCAACAAATGTTTGCTTTTGTTTGTTGTTATCTCACCAATATGAGGACAACTCGATATATTCTTGATAATTTTGAGATTAAGGCAAAGATTTGAGAGGGCAAAAATGGCAACAGAATGCTTTATTTTACCTTCCGTAAGCAATGTGTTGAGAGTTTTTATTGTCAAGCTCACGATTCTTTATCAAATTGTACTTAATATTATACAGACCCATTCTCTAAATAAGTATCAACTCTTTAATATGTTTTGGATCTGGTGTGTGTACGTGTGTGTGTGTGTGTGTGTGTGTGTGTGTGTGCATGTGTGTGTGTGTTTTGACAGAAATTAGAGAGCAATGATAATGAAATAAATGAATGGAAAAAATCCTCAAGACAAACAGAGTCAAAACAAGAATAAGTCATATAAATAATTAAAATAAAATACAATAGTTAATGACATAGAAATAAATAACACGTGCTTTGGAAGCACAAAAGCAAGTTGAATAAACCAAATCATATAGCCCCCACGGAATGTGTCAGCACTCATTTTCCGTACTGGAGGATCTTAAGGATGTCACTAACTGTTGCCCAATCTTGCCTTCATGAATAGCTGATGTGGCAGAGGTTGGAAAGATTAAAATTATAATCCTTAAACATGAGAAAGGCTCTACGTCAAATCAAGAAAATCATAGAATACTGAGCATTAATCCAAATTGGGGTGCAAAACCAATAATAAAGTATTGTTGAGGAAACCAACCCATTTTAGAAAAATCAACATTTTTAATGTCAAAAAATAAAAGTCATTTCAGAGGAAACATAAAGAGGAAATATTTAATAACATCTCTTAAAATGTTTTGCCAGGAATGTTCACGAGATGGAACAATAATCAGTTGGGTGTTGATTTCAGATAAGAAATACTTAAAACTAGAACTATTGTTTTTAATATGTGTCATGCATTACACCATTTACTCTTGACAATCCTATGAGGTACATTAATTAATATCATTCTGATGTTACCGGTAAGGCAATTGAAGTGCATAACACATGAATAACTCTTTTGCATTCCTACACTCTAACTCCGGAATCTCAACTGTGATTTTATGCTGTCTGTTTGGAAACAGAATATACCTCATAGAGGTAAGATGGCAGATTTTCTAAATGTAATTTCTTAGTTGTAGTTACTACCTGTCATTTCACTTGACATCTTAATACATTTTTCTGAAGAACACATACCAAGAAACTCCCAAGTTTGAAAGTATTCTAAAATATTATGAAATCTAGTGATAAAACCAGGTGAAGTTTTTTTGTTTATTGTTTTTTAAACTATTGTAACCAAAAAGTTTGTTCTTCTCAAGAGTACCAGTTGGAAACAGAGAACAGATTCTACCAAGTCCTGAGAGGTGTGTGAAGATCCAGGGCAATGAAGGTGCAGATAGAGAGAAAACAGACTGTGTGGGCAGAGGCTGTGAGGATAGAGAAGAGCAGAGTTTTGGGTTTGTGATTGTTTGTCCCTAATTCAGAGTTTGCTGAAAAAGAGTGGTGAGAGAAAGCAATGCCTAAAAATATATTTTCTATGGAGTATATTGTATTCCACTTTAATGGTGTCTACAATAAAGATCTACAATATTCCTCAGAGGTTTAAGAGTTGCCCCTATAACCTAATAATTTTAATATGATATCTCAGTAATTAGCTATTATGTCTCTCTTGATATATCTAGATTAAATCCATTTCTCTCTGTCTTCTCAAGACAAGCTGTTTTCTGTATATACAAAATATCTTACATGGGAACAACTCTAATATAAAGTATTTGTACAATGAACTAATCAAATGAACTGAGTGCTGATTTCTAGATAACAATATAAGAAAAAACATCTAAGGACTATTTTAAATTTTACTCTAAGATAATGAGCTTAAAATTCAGCCTTTAACAGTCAATGAAACATTGGTTTCTCAGAAAGGTAATAGAAAGCCAACAGAAAATGGTCCTCCAATTTTATATGGCTGTGTGGTTACGTTTACCGTGCATCAAGAAACACATGATGAAACCACAAATGGGCAATAAAATAGAGCCAATGCATAAGGAAAGGGAGATTATATCAGGAAATAGTAAAATGAGGAACTAATTTAAAATGAAGAATTAAAATGAGAAGGATGAAGAACAGGATTTCAAAACCATGGTTGTGAATCCTTGAGTAAGGTAACCTCGGAATTATTCACAAATTTCCCAAAAGCAGGAAGAAGAGGACCTGTAATAAATGACTATTGTTTACTTACCATAAAGAATCTACCCTTCTTCTAGTAATAGAGTGTTTTTTTTTTCTTTTTGAGAGCAATTTTCCCCCATCCCGAATTGTCAGTCCATGGTATTAGTTTGGAGATGATCAGCGAGGGCCTCAGGTTTGAATCTTCCCAGAAAAATGCATTCAACCCAATGTGGGCCTATGAAAGACTATGATCAGGAATTGCTAGAACTGTTAAATTTAGTGAATTCACTTTTAGTGGAATGGTTACACTGGTGGAACATAATTTTGTAATTTCCAGGGAAAGAGCCTGCATTAGATTGAAGCCAACAAAAAAGAACACCAAATTGGGCAATGGGGAGAAAAGGAGTGAGCCCCTGAATTCAGCTATGATAAAGCTAGGTCCTTCTCAGAGATTTTTAGGTACATGAGGCAGTAAGTTCTCTTTTCTCAATGCTTAAAGTAATTGTAGATAATTTTCTGTTATTACAACAGAAATAATCCTGATTAATAAAAGTACATTTGGAAATCCAAATAAAATATTTGAAAATAGACAAAATACCTCATAATTGTTTACATTTAGTAGAGGAGATGTAACATTTGTATATATTCCTAAGGCAATAGCAACAAGAAATATAAATGGATAAAAAATTAGCTTAATTTCTAAATAACACAGCTATCTATAGTTCTAAATTTTAAAAGTAAAAAACTAAGTATAGTATCAGGGAGAACAGCCGTATCTGCCACAGAATTTTGGTTAATAATTTTTGTTAATAATGCAATGGGTTCTAGAATTGGATCTAGATTGGTCGGGTTGAGTGTAATGTTTATATACCTCATTACATAAAAAATACTAGTTTTTTTCCTCAAAATATTTTGGAACAACCTGCTCTAAAAAATGCAGATATAAAGTTAGTAGGAATCATAGGGGGAGACATATGCTACTGAGTAACATTTTAATAATTTCTTCTTGAAATAAAATGTATAATAAATTGTAGATTATATCACGATAAGGTCCAAGAGTTTGGAGGGCTCTTACAGGCCATCTAACCATTTTAAACCTGTACAGTTTAATTAACAGGTGAACATGTAGTTTCTACATTTTTTTTTTGCACACGTCTTTCTGAATAAGGCAACTTCATTCATTGAATATTTCAGTTGTATGGAAGCTGTTTCTTGCACTGAAGTGAAATATGCCCTCTTTCAAATTCAAACTACTATTCATCACTCTGTATTTTAAAACAATACATACTGTCTCAGTAAAACTATTGCATTTTACTTTAAACTTCTCTAGTTCAAATATTCCCAATATATTAAAACATACTTAATTCATGTACATCAATGTTTTTCTATGTGTCAGGTATTGCTTGGCTAGAAATACAGAAATAATCAGTACAGAGACATTTCTGCTCCCATGAAGCATACTCTCTGGATG
The DNA here is from genome assembly GCF_000001405.40 of Homo sapiens. Classification (NCBI taxonomy): domain Eukaryota; kingdom Metazoa; phylum Chordata; class Mammalia; order Primates; family Hominidae; genus Homo; species Homo sapiens. The sequence goes on along the minus strand of NC_000004.12, from coordinate 115,212,279 downwards.
ACGTATATGCAGATATATAAACATAAAATGATGTTTATTACTGTGAAAATAAATAAACAAGATGATGGGAAGGTGTTGCCTTGAAAGAGAAAAGCGTTAGGTACAGAGAATAACCAAAGCATTCATCTACAGGAGGTGAGATTACAGCTGAAACCTGAATGATTAGAAAGGGCCATCGTGAGAAGATCTCAGGAAAAAGCATTTCAGGCAATGCTAGGCAAAGTATCTCAACAGAAAAATCACTAGGAGAAAATGCTTTGCTTATTGTATGATTTCAAATCTCCTCTTTTCTTGTATAGTCTAGCATGGCTTTTATTTGCTCAAAGTGCAAATCCTTGAGATACATATATTTCAAACTAACTTTTAATAAACTCAAGTACAATCAAACTACTATTTCCTGTGATTTGGTGCTCTGGTTTAATTAATGAAGCTTGAGTATGCATTAGCCTTTTCAGCAGTCAAATTGCATTATTGATTCATATTAATGAAGCACCATTTTCAGTAAAATTTTTAAAAATAATTTTTACCAGGTAATTAGTTTCATCTACATAGCTCCTTTTCCTTGCACTCTTGAGATATCTAAATTAAGAAATAGAGCCTTTTATAACAGAGTTGTATTAATAGGTATAATTAACACCAAGAAACTTTAATTCACTTTCTGTTATATGACTCTGGCAAATTTTTTATCATTTTCACTTGATAGCTGATTTCTTAATTTTCATGTTTGCCAACAGGCTTACAATAAGTGGAGGTGATGGTGGGTGGTCTTCTATTCAGAATTCTTTAATGTCATGGCTTATTGAGATGACTCATTCACTGCAGTCCCTACAATTGTCTTCCTTTCAACACTGCTGAGATTCACTCTGCTAACTCCATTATTTGTTAGGGAGGATCTGCACTGCTAGAATATGTCATCCAGCTATTATAAATTTTTCAGTAATTTTACAAAAATAAAAAACTACTTTCTTTTATTTTTAAAATTTGATAACTGCCATCATTTTATCTCTTCCAAGCACTGCTAGATGTCTCCAGCGTCATTTTATCATCCCAGAAAGAGTTTGTTTCTAATTTTCAATGTTTAAATGTCCTCTTTAATGAATTCACAAACTTCTTTGCCTTTATCACTTCCCAAGCTTCTGAATTTTTCTGAAAATAATTTCCTGGGAATAAACTACAGTGGAATTGCACATCAAGACTGACCTTAGCTAATACTCATCTTGAAATATTGTACAGAACACGATTTATCCTTCAATATCGTCATCATCATTGCTTCTCGGGGCTCAATTCTAGCTCTCAGATACTTGCACTGTACTTTTCCCTTAGTAACTGCGGATTAACTGAACTATGTGCCGATAATCACAAGTGAGTTATTCCAGTTTAAAGTTTTCTCCAGAATTATTGGGACTAAACCTGGTTGCCTAAATCAATATTTCAAAGTGAATATGCCTCAGACACCTTTAAGCTAAATATGAAATTGTAATAAGTAATATTCAAGGATCTATGAACTAATACATTTGTATTTATTTGTTTGTTGTATTTAACAAATATGCAGAATTCACTATGAACAAGTTCTTGGGTGGCCGAAGCTTCCACCTGCTTCCACTTTTGATTCCTGCTTGCTCTGCTCCACCAAGAAAATGGTTTCTTCAGGAAAAAGAGTAATGGGAAAAAAAAAAAAAAAAAAAAAAAACAAGAAAAGGAAAAGCACAAAGAAGAGTTCATGGGATTCTTAAAGTTCTTTTATTATTATTATTATTATTATTATTATTATTATATTTTAAGTTCTAGGGTACATGTGCACAATGTGCAGGTTTGTTACATAGGTATACATGTGCCATGTTGGTTTGCTGCACCCATCAAATCGTCATTTACATTAGGTATTTCTCCTAATGCTTTCCTTCCGCCAGCCCCCCACCCTCCGACAGGCCCCAGCTTGTGATGTTCCCTGCCCTGTGTCCAGGTGTTCTCATTGTTCAATTCCCACCTATAAGTGAGAACATGCAGTGCTTGGTTTTCTGTTTTTGTGATAGTTTGCTGAGAATGATGGTTTCCAGCTTCATCCATGTCCCTGCGAAGGACATGAACTCATCCTTTTTTATGGCTGCATAGTATTCCATGATGTATATGTGCTACGTTTTCTTAATCCAGTCTATCATTGATGGACATTTGGGTTGGTTCCAAGTGTTTGCTATTATGAATAGTGCCTCAACAAACATACGTGTACATTTTAATATTTCAACAGTTTTGGAAGAACAGGTGGTTGGTTGCATGGAAAAGTTCTTTAGTGGTGATTTCTGAGATATCAGTGCACCCATTACCTGAGGTGTGTACATTGTATCCAATGTGTGGTCTTTTATTCCACACATAACTCCCACCCTTCCCCTGAGTCCCCAAAGTCTATTATATTATTCTTATGCCTTTGCATCCTCATAACTCCTACTTATAAGTGAGAGCATACGATGTTTGGTTTTCTATTCCTGAGTTACTTTACTTAGAACAATGGTCTCCAACTCCATCTGGGTTACTCTGAATGCCATGATTTTGTTCCTTTTTTTGGCAGAGCAGTATGCTTGGTATAAATATTACACTATATATATCATTTATACATTATAATATATAATATATATGCATATATATATGAATGCCATGATTTTGTTCCTTTTATTGGCAGAGCAGTATACATGGTATATATATATATATAAAAAATGTTATATATTTCATATATAATATATCTATATATCACTATATATATTTTATATATATATTTATATATTTATATATATATATATATCTCAGATTTTCCTTATCCACTTGATGGTTGATGGACATTTAGGCTGGTTCTATATTTTTGCAATTGTGAATTGTGCTAATATAAACATGTGTGTGCAAGTGTCTATTTCATATAATGACTTCTTTTCCTCTGGGTAGATACCTAGTAGTGGAATTCCTGGATCAAATGGTAGTTCTACTTTTAGTTCTTTAAGAAATCTTCATACTGTTTTCCATAGTGATTGTACTAGTTTACATTCCCACCAGCAGTGTAAAAGTGTTCGCTTTTCATTACATCCATGCCACCGTCTGTTATTTTTTGATTTTTTAATTATGGCCATTCTTGCAGGAGTAAGATGATATCTCATTGTGGTTTTGATTGCATTTCCCTGATGATTAATGATGCTGAACATTTTTTCATACGTTTCTTGGCCATTTGTATATCTTCCTTTGAGAATTGTCTATTCATGTCCTTTGCCCACTTTTTGATGGGATTATTTGTTTTTTCTTGCTGATTTATTTGACTTCCTTGTAAATTCTGGCTATTAGTCCCTTGTTGGATGCATAGTTTTGAAGATTTTCTCCCATTCCATGGGTTGTCTGTTTACTCTGTGAATTCTTTCTTTTGCTGTGCAGAAGCTTTTAAGTTTAATTAGGTGCCATCTATTTGTTTGTTTGTTTATTTTTTGGGACGAAGTCTTGCTCTGTCACCCATGCTGGAGTTCAATGGCACAATCTCAGCTCACTGCAACCTTCACCTCCAGGGTTCAAGCAATTCTCCTGCCTCAGCCTCCCCTGTAGCTGGGATCACAGGTGTCCACCACCTGGCCTGGCTAATTTTTGTATTTTTAGTAGAAACGGGGTTTCGCCATGTTGGTCAGGCTGGTTTCAAACTCCTGACCTCAGGTGATCTGCCCCCCTCGGCCTCCCAAAGTGTTGGGATTACAGGTGTGAGCCACCGTGCCTGGCCTCATCTATTTTTTTGTTGTTGTTGCATTTGCTTTTGGGTTCTTGGTCATGAGCTCTTTGCCAAAGGCAATGTCTAGAAGAGTTTTTCCTGTTATCTTCTAGATTTTTTATGATTTCAGGTCTTAGATTTAAGTCTTCCATCCATCTTGAGTTGATTTTTATATGAGGTGAGAGATAAGGATCCAGCTTTATTCTTCTACATGTGGCTTGCCAATTATCCCAGTACCATTCGTTGAATAAGGTGTCCTTTCCCCACTTTACATTTGTGTTTGCTTAGTCAAAGATCAGTTTGCTATAAATATTTGGCTTTATTTCTGGGTTCTCTATTCTGTCCCATTGATCTAATGCCCATTTTTATACCAGTACCATGCTGTTCTGGTAACTATAGCCTTGTAGTATAGTTTGAAGTTAGATAATGTGATGCCTCCAGATTTGTTCTTTTGCTTAATCTTGCTCTGGCTATGTGGGCTCTTTTTTGGTTCCATATGAATTTTAGGATCCTTTTTTTCTAGTTTTATGAACAATAATGATGGCATTTTGATGGGAATTGCAATGAATTTGTAGATTGCTTTGGGAGTATGGTCATTTTCACAATACTGATTCTACCATCCATGAACATGGAATGTGTTTCCATTTGTTTGTGTTGTCTATGATTTCTTTCAACAGTGTTTTGAAGTTTTCCTTGTTCTAGAGGTCTTTCATCTCCTTGGTTAGGGTTATTCCTAAAAATTTTATTTTTATGCAGCTATTGTTAAAGGGGTTGAGCTCTTGATTTGATTCTTAGCTTGGTCATTGTTGCTGTACAGCAGTGCTACTGATTTGTGCACATTGATTTTGTATCCTGAAACTTGACTGAATTCATTTATCAAATGTAGGAGCTTTTTGGATGAGTCTTTAGGGTTTTCTATGTATACAATTATATCATTGGCAAACTGTGAGTTTGACTTCCTCTTTACTGATTTGGATGGTTTTGTAATAAGCATCTTTACCTCCCTCTATTTTCCTTTTACCTGCAGATTACTACTGTTTTTTTTTTTTTCATTAATAATGGCCGTCATTATGCACTCTAGGTTGTCTATTTTTCCTGGAATATGTTGAAACCAAATAATAGTTATGATAATAAAGACTTTTAAAAAAACATAATTTCTTATTTATTTTTACTTGACTCCAAATACAGCAAAATCCCTTCAACAAGGGTGTCATTTGACCACTAAAATTAGTGGTAGCCCTTTATTTACATACATACAATTACGTAATACAATCATGGTTTTATTTACAAAATTGAATACTTCTGTAATTTGCTTTGGGTTACGTATACAACTTTATATTTACTACATATTAAAATTATCACTTAAGAATTAGGCGAAAATTCATGACAATGTTTTTGAGCACTAGTATACATTGTATTTACCAACCATTTTACAGATTCCAGCTTCATTTAAAACATGAATCAATTAACGATTCAGTTTTTTTCTTCATTGGATATCTATCATTTATTAATATGGTAGGTATGGTTGGGCGTGGCAACTTATGCCTGTTATCCCAACACTTGGAAAGGATGAGGCCGGAGGGTCCCTTGAGCACAGGAGTTTTAAGACCAGCCTGGGCAACATAGTGAGATCTTGTCTCTACAAAAAGTACAAATATAGAGCCAGGCATGGTGGCATGTGCCTGTAGTCCTAGCTACTTGGGAGGCTGAAGTGGGAAGGTCGATTGAGCGCGGGAGGTTGAGGCTACAATAACCATAAGTTGTGATTGTGCCACTGCACTCCAGTCAGGGTGACAGAAGGAGAACCTGTCACAAAAATAATAATAATAATAATAATAATAATAATAATTAGAACAAAAAGATAGGCATGATGCTGGAAACTTTACTCCATCAGTGTCAGTGCTTACTACTTAATTACTACCATCTAGGAAAAAAATGCACATAATTTTCTGACACACAATAGGTTGGATTCAGCACAGAGTGCTTTATATATTTCATATTTAAATGTGACCTGATGGCAAAAGACAAATATAGGCATGTGTTAGAATTTAAAATCATTTTAAAACTACAAATAAATGGCAATAACAGAAATAACTTTTATTTCTTTGTTTGTTTATTTTGAGACAGGGTCTCGCTCTGTTGCCCATGCTGGAATGCAGTGGCACAATCATGGCTCACTTCAGCCTTGCCCTCCCAGGCTCAGGTGGTCCTCCCACCTCAGCCTCCCAAGTAGCTGGGATCACAGGTGCACAACACCACACCCAGCTAATGTTTGTACTTTTTGTAGGGATGGGGTTTCATCATGTTGCCCATGCTGGTCTTAAACATCTGAGTTCAAGCGATCTGCCCACCTCGGCCTCAAAAAGTGTTGGGATTACAGGTGAGTGCCACGGTGCCCAGCCAATAACTTTTATTTCTTACACTATTTTTGTTGACTTGATATTAGTCAAACAGTTATTGTCAATGGTAGAAACATCTATGTAAGAGTAACATTTCTAATATTTTTAATATGTTTAGCTTCACCCAGGCTGAAGTGCAGTGGCATAAGCATGGCTTACTGCAGCCTTGAACTCCTAGATTCAAGTGATCCTCCTGCTTCAGCCTCCCTGAGTAGCTAGGACTACAGGCATTTTTTTTTTTTTTCCCCAGGCTGGTCTCTAAATTCTGGACTCAGGCGATCCTCCCACCTGGGTCTCGCAAAGTTCTCAGATTACAAGTGTGAGCCATGGCGCCAGGAAATCCAGCCAGAATTTCCTTTTTCATAATACTGGTACATGAGAAACCAAATGGCATGTATAATAGGGAGAATGCATTCTTTGTTTTGACATTATCTTTGTATATTCTGTTATGGCTGTTGTAAAATATGAAGTTTATTTAGATAATAGCATGACACTCCCCTCAGCTCAGCAAATCAGTTGTCTGAAAAGTGCAGTTTTAGAATATAAACTGCAAATTCCTTTCCCATGATAAATCCTGACTTTCATGCCCCTAACTAATTGAATCTAGGATAAGACAGGGACATAAAAAGTGGCAGAATTATATTAATAATAGAAAAAGAGGGTGTAACCAAATACAGAGAACTAGAATAAATTTTCTAATAGAAAAATAATCCAAGTGAATTAGATTGTAAAAGAGATAAACCATTCTCACCTAACAAAAACCAAATATTTAGTAAATGACAAATTAATGAATTAATTGAATCATCGTAAGTCAAGAATTCAAGGATTATAAGGACATTTAAATGTCACATTGTTCAACTATCTACATAATTATTTATAGAGCATACCTGCTATAGATATTTTAGCCTATACACCCATATTACCTCTTCGGGAATTATTCAACTTTTGACAGCTTTGTTAAATAATTCTTCGATACATTAATTCTTTTATATCTACTTATATATCTGCCATTTGAATAAATTCTATTTTTGGAGCTTCTATAAAATTACTCTTATTATTCTTCCATAGAGCAATTCGGATTCAGTTCAAAACATGACCAGTTCATTCATATGCTTCATATGTTGATTCTATCTTTTAAAATCCCTTCAGTTTAATTAATAATCAAGCATCTCAACTCACATTTTATTTTTATTCTCTTAGAACTGAACAATATTCATGTAATCTGAGCAGTGTAGAGTAGAAACCTGATTGTCATCATTTCATTTTAAATGCCATGTTTTCTTTAATGTATGTGAGGAGTTAACTATTTTGACCATCACATCATGAAATATCTCAAAATGTTTATATTATAAATAATCATTGCAAAACATTGAAAAATCTATATGTTGTAGCATTATAAGCATGACAGTCATCACCTTTCAAATTATTTTAACTTATGACAATTTTGCCCTCAATCAATTACATCAGCTATTCAGCTCTAGTCAGACACTTTGTTTAGCAGGTCAATGCACACTATTGCACTATAGTCTATTTGTTCAATAATGAAGTTCTATATTCCTGTTCAATAGCATAAAAAGTGAATTATGATAAAATCATGTTGAATCATCAGTTATTTGAAGATACAAATTAAAATTATACTGATTAATTGTGTAATATTGATGCATTTTCCTTTCAGGCATGAAACAAAGAAAAGAGAAGAAAAAAATCTTCATGACAGTTGTGCAGGTGTGACCTTCAACTTGCTGTGCAAACTTTACCTTCCTTGGGTAAAGCACAGTCAAAAGCATAATAATAATACTATCAATAATAATGACTATCTTCAATTGGATTTATAGATACCCTGACTCAGCTTTCCTCTTAAACTTCTAACTTTCTTAATAAGTGCAGTTTTGTGCACTTAATTTCCTATCGATACCACAGGTATATTATATTCTAGATACTGCTATTTTTATTTTTTAGTCTTCATAGTTTTTCTAAACTTTACAAGGCTTCTCTACATTGTTAACTTCTAAATGTCCTAGTTATGTGTTCCCTGTATCATAGCCTTTGTTAATAGCTAACACTGGATTTATGCCAAACTAAAGTGTTTAGGATAAAGAGTGTCAACTGATTCAGGCAAGGCACTTTGAAGTCACAATAGCTGCAACATGTTGCTGGTTTTTAAATAATAAGATATGATCATAGTTGATTCAGAGGTAATCTGACTTTGTAAAGTTAATTCCCACTAAACAATCTCACAAATACTGTCAGACAAGACTTAGTATCGATTTGTTAATTTATTTTGAAAAATATAAATACCAGGTTATTATAGTATTTTTTTTAAAAGATTGAGATAAAATCTTAGCTAGGCATTACTGGAACATAGCTAAAACAAAGCCTATAACTTACTCAGACTTACCAGTAAACATTTGAGGCAAGATTTGTGTCACATTAACACAATCCAGCCCATAAAAAATCATGGAATGTGAAAAGATTGAAATCATATTTATTAAACAGAGGGAATATTCAAAAATGATTTTTCGTTAATAAGAGGTTGTTCCACATTTCTGTTTGATCTTCAAATTTTCTTTGGACATTTCATTGTAATTACATCTTAGAATGTTTCAAAATTTTTCAAACTTATATGATCATAAGCAGATACATGCATCACACATGCAAAGTATCACTGTGATATTCTAAAATTATGTTTCCCAACTGGAGATGTGGAGCATGTAGGGGCTAATAGTAAAATCACCTAGGAATTTTTTCAAAACATTTATTTTTCTCTTCCCCAAATAGAGATATATGAGAATTGGGTTGCAGAGGATAAGTACTTATTTTGGAACATCACCCACAAATTATTTTGATTCTTCCTTCTCTTGAAAACCAGTACTTTGATCCAATTATGAATACCTGAATGCCCCCAAAATATACCAATTGCTCACAGCGTACAAAGGAAAGGGTAGAAAAGAAGGAAAGGAAGAGAGGATGAAAGGAGAGAGGGAGGGAGAGGGCAAAGAGAAGAGGGAAGGGGAGAAAGAAGGGAGAAAGGAAAGAAGCAAAGAACAACAGAGAGAGGGAGGGAGGAAGGAAGAAGAAAATAAAGTATCCTGTTCTTCCACATTTAGGATATTTCAGCCATCAATAAAAATAAATTTAGTGACAGAGATATTGAAAGAAAGAAGAGCTGCCATATATCTTCATCCTCCATAATTATGTCTGAATCTTTCATTGTACTAGTGTAAAAGTAATTTATTTAATGTAAACCTCTTCCTTTATGTTACAAGAGGTAACAAAAAAACACGAAGGGGCATTTTAGTTTCTTAAAAATTGGCCTATACTTCTTATGGTAACAGCTAAAAATGTAGAAACTGTATTATTTCTTTAATGATCTGAGTGAGATGTATGGATTCTGAAAGCTAAGAAAAACAGAAACAACCAAGAATCTTTACTTTGCTCATTTAGGCTCTCATATCTCTATGATATAATGTCCATAAATAAAATAAAAATTATTTTGAGAACAATATGTTGGCTGGAAAATTGGAAGCTCCTGTCATAATAATGTTTCTGTCAGCACTTCTACTAAAAGTGATTTTTGCAGCATCAAAGCATATTTGGATTAAAAAAAAAAAACTCTGAACATCTAAATATACATCCAAAACAACTTCCAACTTGAAATCCAGCTATCGCCTGTATTAGTCCAGGGTTTACATTGTTAATATTTAATTTGGCATTTGCAGTGGAGATGTGCTGAGCTTTGTGGTATATATTTAGGTAAAGAAGTCAGTGAACCACAGACAGACAACTATGTCTTGACTATATTTCTATCTTTATTTCAGATAAGCTTCTCTCACATCGACTTATACCAAAAATAGATCACACATTCAGGAAGTCAGGTTATATATATAATTTTTTACTTTTTATAATATTTAATGTTACTTTTGCTATATTAAGATGGTAGTAATATGCTAACAGTCAATATTCAAAAGATAATTTTATTTAGGCATACACAAAGCAAAACTTGTTCACTTTTTCCTCAAGCAGTAACTATAATAGACAAATACTACACATAACTTAAAAGGAAAGAATAAAATACTATATTTGTAAATATACAATTAGCTCAAACTTGAGTATGAGCTTTGGATTTATGTTGTTTTCATTATTTGAAGCCTAATATATTTATATGTCTGAAAGCTTTCTTGCAACTTCAGCTTAGACAGTGTATTGTTTAGGTCATTTTTCTGAGGAATATTAAGCTTAGATAAATATAGAAAATACTATATCTATCTATCTTTAATTTTAAAATAATAAAAGATAATGATCATTGAAACTTAGAATTCTGATAATGAACAGTAGTATCTATCTGGAATGTAAAGCAACACAAAACATACAGAAACAATTAATGTAATTTAATATAAAATTTACCAGACATTTGGTCTGAAGTATCATTTTAAAAAACCTTGTTTGTTTGTTTCTTGTGTTGCAGTTCTATGTGTTTTGTTAAATTTTAATTGGCAAGTTTGTTTATTCATTTATTTATTTATTTATTAATTATTCATGTATTTTGAGACAGGGTCTCTCTGTTAACCAGGCTGGAGTGCAGGTAGTGGCACAATCTTGGCATAATCATCCAGCCTTTACCTCCTGGGCTCAAGCAATTCTCCTGCCTCAGCCTCCCAAGAAGCTGAAAGTATAGGCACATGCTACCACATTTTTCTTTAGAAACAGGGTCTCCCTTTGTTGCCCAAGCTGGTCTCTAACTCCTGGGCTCAAGAGATCCTCCTGCATTGGCCTTCCAAAGTGCTGTGATTATAGATGTGAACCACTGAGGAAACAGCAGAAAGGCCCTGGGAGCTCACAGGGTCCCCTAGGAAGTCATTCCTGCTTGGCATCAGACGGATCCAATGCTGGAGGAACAGAGGGGGTAAAACTACAGGGAATAGCAAACCTCTAGCTGAACTTTGTAACAGTTTGAATGGGGTGAGAAGCCTCCCGGCCAGAACTCATGGGAGGGTGCAAATCTGTTGTGCTGGCTCCACAGGCAGGGAAAGAAGCAAGCCCATTTCTTTCGCAGCTGGGAAGCAGTTAGCCTGGGGCAGTTTTTCAAGCCTATATCACTCTGCCTGGAAAAGGTCTGAGGGCTGTTGGCAAGGGCATAGGGGAGTGAGACCAGCCCTTTAGTTTGTGTGAGTGCTAGCTGAGGCCTGTGACTGCTGGCTTTCCCCACTTCCCTGAAAAATTTCATGACTCAGCAGAGGCAACCATAATCCTCCTAGGTACACAACTCCAGTGACCTGGGAATCTCACCCCCACCCCTGACAGCAGCCACAGCAAGATCTGACCAAGAAGAGTCTAAGCCCAGACTCGCCTAGCCCCACCCCCATCTGATGGTCTTCCCTCACCCACCTTGGTAGTGAGAGGTGACAGCGTGCTGGCAGTTCTCACAGCCCTCGCTGGCTCTCGGCGCCTCCTCTGCCTGGGCTCCCACTTTGGCGGCACTTGAGGAGCCCTTCAGCCCACCGCTGCACTGTGGGAGCCCCCTTCTGGGCTGGTCAAGGCCAGAGCCGGCTCCCTCAGCTTGCAGGGAGGTGTGGATAGAGAGGCGCCAGCAGGAACCGGGGCAGCGCATTCGGCGCCCGCGGGCCAGCTGGAGTTCCGGGTGGGCGTGGGCTTGGCAGGCTCCACACTCGGAGCAGCCTGCCGGCCCTGCTAGCCCCAGGCAATGAGGGGCTTAGCACCCGGGCCAGTGGCTGCGGAGGGTGCACTGGGTCTCCCAGCAGTGCCAGCCCACCGGTGCTGCTCTCGATTTCTCACCAGGCCTTAGCTGCCTTCCCATGGGGCAGGGCTCGAGACCTGCAGCCCGCCATGGCTGAGCCTCCCACCCCCTCCATGGGCTCCTGTGCAGCCCGAGCCTCCCTGATGAGCGCTGCCCCCTGCTCCACGGCGCCCAGTCCCATCGACCACCCAAGGGCTGAGGAGTGTGGGCGCACGGCACGGGACTGGCAGGCAGCTCTACCTGCAGCCCCAGTGCGGGATCCACTGGGTGAAGCCAGCTGGGCTCCTGAGTCTGGTGAGGACGTGGAGAATCTTTATGTCTAGCTCAGGGATTGTAAATACACCAATGGGCACTCTGTATCTAGCTCAAGGTTTGTAAACACACCAATCAGCACCCTGTGTCTAGCTCAGGGTTTGTGAATGCACCAATCGACACTCTGTATCTAGCTACTCTGGTGGGGCCTTGGAGAACCTTTATGTCTACACTCTGTATCTAGTTAATCTAGTGGGGACATGAAGAACTTTTGTGACTAGCTCAGGGATTGTAAATGCACCAATTAGCACCCTGTCAAAACAGACCACTTGGCTCTACCAATCAGCAGGATGTGGGTGGGGCCAGATAAGAGAACAAAAGCAGGCTGCCAGAGGCAGCAGTGGCAACCCACTCAGGTCCCCTTCCACACTGTGGAAGCTTTGTTCTTTTGCTCTTTGCAATAAATCTTGCTACTGCTCACTCTTTGGGTCCACACTGCTTTTATGAGCTGTAACACTCACCACGAAGGTCTGCAGCTTCACTCCTGAAGTGAGCAAGCCCACGAGCCCACCAGGAGGAATGAACAACTCCAGATGCACCGCCTTAAGAGCTGTAACACTGCGAAGGTCTGCAGCTTCACTCCTGAGCCAGCGAGACTACAAACCCACCAGAAGGAAGAAACTCCGAACACATCTGAACATCAGAAGGAACGAACTCCAGACGCGCCACCTTAAGAGCTGTAACACTCACCGCGAGGGTCCGCGGCTTCATTCTTGAAGTCAGTGAGACCAAGAACCCACCAATTCCGGACACAGTAGCAGTAGACAAAGAGGATATTATCTTGAGAGTTCTAGGGCCCTGCCAACTGCCAGTTCCTCCTCCTAATACCACAGCTGATGCTTTCTGGAAACCGCCACCTCGTGGCAGGAGGCCAACCAGCAAAAAAATAGAGCATTAAACCACCAAAGCTAAGAACCCAAGTAGAGTCCATTGCACCCACCCCTGCCACCTCCACCAGAACAGGCACTGGTATCCATGGCTGAGAGACCCACAGACAGTTCACATCACAGGACTCTGTGCAGACAATCCCCAATACCAGCCCAGAGCTGGGCAGGTTCAAGGGGTTACTAGACCCAGAAGAGAGACAACAATCACTGCAGTTCAGCTCACAAGAAGCCACATCCATAGGAAAAGGGAGAGAGTACTACATCCAGGGAACACCCTGTGAGACAAAAGAATCTGAACAACAGCCTTCAGCCCTAGACCTTCCCTGTGACAGAACCTATCCAAATAAGAAGGAACCAGAAAACCAACCCTAGTAATATGACAAAACAAGGCTCTTTCAACACCCCCCAAAAATCACACTAGTTCACCAGCAATGGATTCAAACCAAGAATAAATCCCTGATTTACCTGAAAAAGAATACAGGAGGTTAGTTATTAAGCTAATCAGGGAGGGAGCAGAGAAAAGTGAAGCCCAATGAAAGAAAACCCAAAATATGATACAAAAAGTAAAGGGAGAAATATTCAAGAAAATAGATAGTTTAAAAAAAACAGTAAATATTCAGGAAACTTTGGACACACTTTTAGAAACGTGAAATGCTCTGGAAAGTCTCAGCAATAGAACTGAACAAGTAAAAAGCAATAAATTCAGAACTCTAAGAACAGTTCTTCAAATTAATCTAATACAACTAATACTAAAAAAGAGTAAGAAAATATGAACAAAGCCTCCAAGAGGTCTGGGATTATGTTAAATGATCAAACTTAAGAATAATTGGTGTTCCTGAGGAAGAAGAGAATTCCAAAAGCATGGAAAACATATTTGGGGGAATAATCTAGGAAAACATTCCTGGCCTTGCTAGAGACCTAGACATCCAAATACAAGAAGCACAAAGAACACCTGGGAAATTCATCACAAAAAGATCTTCACCCAGGCACACTGTCATCACTTTATCCAAAGTTAAGACGAAGGAAATACTCTTAAGAGCTGTGAGACAGAAGCATCATATAACCTATAAAGGAAAACCTATCACGTGAACAGCAGATTTCTCAGCAGAAACCCCACAAGCGAGATGAAACTGAGGCCCTGTCTTCAGCCTCCTCAAACAAAACAATTATCAGCCAAGAATTTTGTATCCAGTGAAACTAAGCATTATATATGAAGGAAAGATACAGCTTTTTCAGACAAACAAATGCTGAGATAATTCACCATTACAAAGCCAGCACTATAAGAACTGCTAAAAGGAGCTCTAAATCTTGAAACAAATCCTGGAAACACATCAAAACAGAAAAATTACAGAGGACTTATAAAACAAAAATACAAGTTAAAAAGTAGAAACAAAAACAAAAAAACCAAAGTACACAGGCAATAAAAAGCACAACAAATGCAACAGTACCTCACATTTCAATAACATTGAATGTAAATGGCCTAAATACTCCACTTAAAAGATACAGAACTGCAGAATGGATAACAACTCACCAACCATGTGCTGCCTTCAGGAGACTCACTTAGCACTTAAGGACTCACATAAACTTAAACTAAAGGGGTGGAAAAAGGCATTTCATGCAAATGGGCACCAAAAGTGAGCAAGGGTAGCTATTCTTAAATCAGACAAAACAAACTTTAAAGCAACAGCAGTTAAAAGAGACAAAGAGGGACATTATATAATGGTAAAAGACATTGTCCAACAGGAAACTATCACAATCCTAAACATATATGCATCTAACACTGGAGCTTCAAAATTTATAAAACAATCACCAATAGACCTAAGAAATGAGACAGACAGCAACATAATAATAGTAGGGGACTTCAATACTCCAATGACTGCACTAGACACATCATCAAGACAGAAAGTCAACAAAGAAACAATGGATTTAAACTATACCTTGGAACAAATGGACTTAACAGATACATACAGAACATTTCATCCAAGAACCACAGAATACACATTCTATTCAACAGTGCATGAAACTTTCTCCAAGATAGACCATATGATAGGCCATAAAACATGCCTCAATAAATTTAAGAAAACTGAAATTATATCAAGCACTCTCTCAGACCACAGTGGAATAAAACTGGAAATAAACTCCAAAAGGTACCTTCAAAACCAGGCCAATACATGGAAATTAAATAACCTCATTCTGAATGAGCATTGGATCAAAAATAAAATCAACGTGGAAATTAAAAAACTCTTCAAACTGCATGACAATAAAGATACAACCTATCAAAACCTCTGTGATACAGCAAAGGCAGTGCTAAGAGAAAAATTCATAATCCTAAATGCCTACATCAAAAAGACTGAAAGAGCACAAACTGACACTCTAAGGTCATACCGCAAGGAACTAGAGAAACAAGAATAAATCAAATCTGAACCCACCAGATGAAAGGAAATAACCAAAATCAGAGCAGAACTAAATGAAATTGAAACAAAAAAATTCAAAACATAAATGTAACAAAATCTGGTTCTTTGAAAAGATAAATAAAATTGATAGGCCATTGGCAAGATTAGCCAAGGAAAGAAGAGATAAAATCCAAATAACCTCACTAAGAAATGAAATAGGAGATATTACAACTGACACCACTGAAATACAAAAGATCATTCAAGGCTACTATGAATGCCTTTATGTACATAAACTAGTAGACTTAGAAGAGATGGGTAAATTTCTGTAAAAATATAATCCTTGCTTAAATCAGGAAGAACTAGATACCCTGAGCAGAACAATAACAAGCAGTGAGATTGAAATGGTAATTAAAAAATTACCAACAAAAAAAAGTCCAGGACCAGACAGATTCACAGCAGAATTCTACCAGACATTCAAAGAAGAATTGATACCAATCCTTTTGACACTATTCCACCAGGTAGAGAAAGAAGGACCCCTTTCTAATTCATTCTGTGAAGCCAGCATCACCCTAATACCAAAACCAGGAAAGGACATAACCAAAAATGAAAACTACAGACTGATATTCTTGATGAACATAGATGCCAAAATCCTTAACAAAATACAAGCTGACTGAATCCGACAACATATCAAAAAGATAATCCACCATGGTCAAGTGGGTTTCATACCAGGGATGCAGGGATGGTTTAACATATGAAAGTAAATAAATGTGATACACCACATAAATAGAATTAAAAACAAAAATTACATGATCATTTCAATAGATGCAGAAAAAGCATTCAACAAATCCAGGATCCCTTTATGATTAAAACTCTCAGCAAAATCGGCATACAAAGGACACGACTTAATGTAATAAAAGCCATCTATGACAAACCCACAGCCAACATAATACTGAATGGGGGAAAGTTGAAAGCATTTTCTTTGAGAACTGGAACAAGACAAGGATGCCCGCTCTCACCATTCCTCTGCAAAGTAATACTGGAAGTCCTAGCCAGAGAAATCAGACAAGAGAAAGAAATAAAGGGCATTCAAATAAGTAAAGAGGAAGTCAAACTGTCCCTGCTTGCTGATGATATAATTGTTTACCTTGAAAACCCTAAGGACTTCTAAAGAAAGCTCCTAGAACTCATGAAAGAATTCAGCAAAGTTCCAAGGGACAAGATTAATGTACACAAATCAGTAGCTTTTCTATACACCAACAGCAACCAGGTGGAGAATCAAATCAAGAACTCAACTCCTTTTACAATAGCTGCAAAAAAATAAAATATTAGGCATAAACCTAACAAAGGTGTCAGTTGACCTCTACAAGGAAAACTACAGAACACTGTGGAAAAAAATCATAGACGACATGAACAAATGGAAACACATCCCATGTTCATGGATGGGTAGAATCAATAATGTGAAAATGACTATACTGCCAAAAGCAATCTACAAATTCAATGCAATCTCCATCAAAATACCACTATCATTCTTCACAGAATTAGAAAAACCAATTCTAAAATTCATATGGAACCAAAAAGAGCCAAAGCAAGACTAAGCAGAAAGGACAAATCTGGAGACATTACACTACCTGATTTCAAACTATAGTATAAGGCAATAGTCACCAAAACAGCATGGTACTGGTACAAAAATAGGCACATAGACCAATGGAACAGAATAGAGAACCTAGAAATAAACGCAAATACTTACAGCTGATTGATCTTTGACAAGGCAAGCAAAAACATAAAGTGGGGAAAGAACACCCTTTTCAACAAATGGTGCTGGGATAATTGGCTAGCCACATGTAGGAGAATGAAACTGGATCCTCATCTCTCACCTTATACAAAAATAAATTCAGCATGGATTAAGGACTTAAACCTAAGACCTGAAGCTATAAAAATTCTAGAAGATAACATTAGAAAAACCCTTCTAGACATTGGCTTAGCAAGGATTTCATGACCAAGAACCTAAAAGCAAATGCAATAAAAACAAAGATAAATAGCTGGGACCCAATTAAACTAAAAAGCTTTTCACAGCAAAAGTAACAGCAGAGTAAACAGACAACCCATAGAGTGGGAGCAAATCTTCACAATCTATACATCTGGACAAAGGACTAATATCCAGAATCTACAATGAACTCAAACAAATCTGTAAGAAAAAAACAAATAATCCCATAAAAAAGTAGGCTAAGGACATGAACAGACAATTCTCAAAAGAAAATATATAAATGGCCAACAAACATATGAAAAAATGCTCAACATCACTAATGATCAGGGAAATGCAAATCAAAACCACAAGGCAATACCACCTCACTCCCGCAAGAATGGCCATAATCAAAAAACAGTAGATGTTAGTGTGGATGTGGTGAACACGGAACATTTCTACACTGCTGGTGGGAATGTAAACTAATAGAGCCACTGTGGGAAAAAGTGTGGAGATTTCTTAAAGAACTAAAAGTAGAACTACCCTTTGATCCAGCAATCCCATTACTGGCTATCTGCCCAGAGGAAAAGAAGTTATTATTCAAAAAAGATAACTTGCACATGCTGTTTATAGCAGCACAATTCACAATTGCAAAATCGTGGAACCAACCCAAATGCTCATCAATCAACAAGTGGAGAAACTGTGATTATATATATAAAATATATCATATACATAGAGATAATTATAAATATATGATGGAATACTACACAGCCATAAAAGAATGAATTAACAGAATTTGCAGTGACCTGGATGAGATTGGAGACTATTATTCTAAGTGAAGTAACTCAGGAATGGAAAACCAAACATCATATGTTCTCACTGATATGTGGGAGCTAAGCTATGAGGACACAAAGGCATAAGAATGATGCAATGGACTTTGGAGACTTGGGGGAGAGTCGGAGCTGGGCAAGAGATAGAAGACTACAAATATGGTGCAGTGTATACTGTTCAGGTGATGGGTGCACCAAAATCTCACAAATTACCACTAAAGAACTTACTCATGTAACCAAATACCATGTGTACCCCAATAACTTATGGAAAAATTAAAAAATAAATAAAAATTAAAAAGAAAAAATGAAAAATATTTTACTTTTGTTTTCAAGAATAGAGGCAAAGATAATTTTTTTGCTTTAACTGTAAGTTTTTTTTTTGTTAAAATGATATGGAGAATATCATTACAATTTTAGAGAAACTGTGTACATTGTGAAAGTGTTTTTCATACTACAATGTAAAAATAATAAAGAGAAATCAAACAAGCATTTCGTTTTTTTCCAAAATTAACTGTCTAAATATTACCTTTTCTGAACTGTGTTTTGGAAGCTATTAATATTTTAATAGTAAATTTCATTATATCTACATATATTTAAACATCAAAATAACTGGTTAAATAGTGATTTTTAATGAAGAGCACATATTTCTTTAACAATAACTTTATATTATGTGACTTCCTTGCCCTCTAACATTGAAGATTGACACCTGTTTGAAAAGCATAAATTATTTGGGATAAAAGTCATTGTACTACATCACACATAGCAATTTAAGCCACAGCAAATATTTGTAAATTTTATAGAATCTTTTTATAAAGATATTTAAATTCCAGAATGACTACTTATGAAATATACGAACACTGATTATCTTATTTCACAATTGCATGTATGTGCAATAATCTCTCAGCTGATAAAATTTATAAAACAACAGTCAGTAGCTTAAATGTAGCACGTTATTTATATTCCAAAAAGTCAAATGACAGTGGTTGAACTACATAATTGATGAGTTAAGTGAGTTTTATGTCCACAAAACAATTTTAAAGCTGAGTAACCCAAATTTATGAGCCATATTCAGAGGGATTATAAAGTCAATATATTGCTGTTTATGTATCAAGTCAGAGAAAATTATTAAGTATGATTTCAGCCATGGATGGTTAGGGTGGAGGACCTTGGTTAAATTTTGAGGCTATAATTCAAGGAAATTTTGGTAGCTACAAAGCTAGTGTAACAAATAGGATAACTGTGCTATAATAGACTTTAGCTGATTTATTTTCTTAATTTAAAAAATGTACAAATGGAGTTCAGTAGCAACTCCAAAAAACATTTCAAAATGTGCTATTGGAAACAAGTATTTTATTCAGGCTTATTGGGAAATTAGACTTCATGAAACTTGTAAAAAATCTAAATAGATATTTTGAATACAACTAAAATATAAATGAGCTCTTGGCAAGTAACAAAAAGTGATTCTTTTTTAGCACCATTTTACCATAAGAAATTGAAAGGATTTTTGGTTTTTTGTACAATGAAGTTTTGAATGGCTTTAGCTGAGCATAATAGCATATATTTTGGTCATTAACAATTATATAAACACAAATATAATAAAGGAATATCAGAACATTTTGAAGGCATATAAAGGAAAGGTTAAAAATACATCTTTTTATAAACACTGGGGTTTTTCACTCTAGTATTAAGCGATATTTTATAGAATACATAGGCCCCAGTCCCAAAACCTTAAATTATTTACTGTGTAATTTTGGGCAAGATCTGTAAGTCCTCAAGACTAAGTATGGGCAAGCATTCTTCACCTAATATGTACCTTCATCTCCAACTAGTATGCAATTGTGAGGAAATGTTGAGATTTGAGATTTAACTCTATAACAAGATAACAAGTTAGCCTTCCACAGTTCCATGAATGCTTGGAGAAGCTATGAGACTTCTGGGTCAAAGACAGTGGACTACATTACACACAGTACAGCAAGCATCATTAGCATGGACAAATTTGTGCCAATATCCTTTATTCCCAAATCCCACAAGGACAAAGTAGATGGATGTGTGCACACACAGTGGATTGTGTTTTGGGAAAGGAATTGTGAGCATATAGAAAGCAAATATTTTATAATGGGTAATCCACATTCCTATCCTGTACTTGGGAGATAGAAATTATCTTTATTATACTAGAAAGCATGTTTCCCTTTGCTCCAGAGGAAAATATTAGATCTATCTTCAAAGACTGTTCATTACTCAGACAATCTTGAAAAGACATCCAGAATAAAATGGGGCCAATGCCTCACTGTACACTATGCAGAAATGTTAAAGAACTATGGAAGATTGTCTCCTAACAATAGTAAGTACGATTCATTTATTCAGAAAATACATATGGCATACTATACTCTAGACACTGTACTAGGGATTGAGAATACAGTGATAAATGAGACAGACTACATTCCTGCTCTCGTGGAGCTAAAATTCTAATAACAAAGTAAACAACTGAGATAATTTCTCTAAGCAGTTAAATTAATAATGCAGAAATAAAATGAATGTCTGTAACATAGTAATATAGCATAGTCAAGGAAGGCTTCTTTGAGATTACATTTGATTTGAGGCCTAAATCATAAAATCTAGGGAAATAGAATTCCTAGCAAACAGAAAAGTAAGTAGAAAGACTGATATTTGAATTAAAAACAATAGAGATGCCAGTAAGTTTGAAATTAGGTATATGAACAAAAGTCTACAAAATATCTTACTTTTAACAAAATATAGAACATTAGTATACCCATATAGCCTTCAAAAAATTATTCATTATTTAAATTTTTCCACAGTGGAAATATATTTGACAGGACACTTTTAGCAAATATATTATCAACAAATATATCTGAGAATTCTAACATTATATAAACCTCTGAAAATGAAAATGAATGAAATGTAATTGATAAGTTATCTTTAATTCAAATTTAAACCTTCTGCTCTGCAAATGATAATGGTCCAAAAATGAGAAAACAAGCTACTGACTGAAAGAAAATATTTGTAAAGGACACATCTGGTAAAAGACTATTACCCAAAATATACGAGGGACTTAAGAAACTCAATAATAAAAAAAAACTGAGTAAAAAATGGGCAAAGGACCTTAATAGACACCTCATCAAATACAGATATACAAATGACTTCAAAATAATTTTTTAGCTCCCAAATATCAGGGAGAACATTTGATATCTGTCATTCTGTGCCTGGCTTATTTCACTTAACAGACATTTCTCTGGTTCCATTTACATTGCAAATGACAGAATTTCATTCATTTTCATGGCTGTATAATATTCCATTGTATACATGTACCATATTTTCTTTATCCATTCATCCCTTGATGGACAGACAATTTAATTAATTCCATGTTGTGACAATTGTTAATGGTGCTGCAAAAAAAATGGGATCACAGACATCTTTTTAATATACTGATTTCTTTTCTTTTAGATTTATACCCAGAAAGAATGATAAATGCTTGAGGTGATAGATATCCCAATTATCCAGATTTGATCACAACACATTCTATGCATGTATCAAAATATCACATGTACTCAATAAATATGTACAACTATTATGTACCCATCAAATTAAAAATTTTTTAAAGTTTTAAGAAGTCTTAATATTTATGAAATCAGAGAAAACTATTTACAGATGGCAAATAATTATATAGAAAGATGTTTCACATCATAGGTAATCAAGGAAATGCTAATAAAACAAGATGCCACTACACATTTATTAGAATAGTCGATATTCAAAAGACTGGCTACACCAAATGCTGGAGAGGATGTGGAGCACCAGAAACTTTCATTCATTGCTGGCAAAAATGCAAAATGGTACAGCCACTTTGGAAGACAATTTGGCAGTTTCTGAAAAAATGAAGCATGTCCTTACCATACGATCCAGCAATAATGTACCTTAATATATATCCAAAGGCATTGAAAACAGTCCATACAAAAACATGTACACTGATATTGAAAGCAGTTTTATTTATAATTTCCAAAGCTTTGAAGCAAGCAAGAAGTCCTTCAGTAGGTGAATGAATAAATAAATTGTGATGCATTTAGAAAACAGAATATTGTTCAGTAGAAAAAATAAATGAGCTGAGGCTGTGATTCTGATTGAAAAAAAAAAAAGAGCTAACAAGCCATGCAAATACATGGAGAAAACTTACATGCATATAATTAAGTGAAAGAAGCCAATCTGAAGAGGCTACATACTATATGATTTCAACTATATGATATTCTGGAAAAGACAAAACCATAGAGACAGTAAAACATTCAGTGATTGTCAGGAGTTAGGAAGGGAAAAATAAATAGGCAAAGTACAGAGGATTTTCAGGGTAGTAAAAATATTCTGAATGATATTCTAATGATGGACACATGCCATTATACATTTGTCCATACCCATAGAATACATTATAGTGCACTCCTGGTGCTGCGTAAACTATGGACTTGGGTTATGATGTGTCAATGTTCATCAATTAAACATAACTTTGGTAATGATGTTAAAATTGCTCATCAATTTTAACAAATGTACCACTGTGGTTGGGGATGTTGATAATGAAGAAAGCTATGTGTGTGGGGAGACAGCTGTTATATATGAAATATCTCTACATTTCTCTTAAGTTTGCTGTAAACCTAAAACTGCTCTTCAACAAAATGAAGCCATAGAAAGAAAAAGAAAGGAAACATTCCTTGATACATTGTACAAGCCTTACGTAAACTTCAGAAAACCAAACATTGCATGGTCTCACTTATAAGGGGGAGCTGAATGATGAGAACACATGGACACATGTCGGAGGGAACAACACACACTGGGGCCTGTCAGGGGGTTGTGAGGGGAGGGAGAGCATCAGGAAGAATAGCTAATGGATGCTGGGTTTAATACGTAGGTGATGGATTGGTCTGTGCAGCAAACCACCATGGCACACTTTTACCTATGTAACAAACCTGCACATCCTGCACATGTACCCTGGAATGTAAAATAAAAGTTGAAGAAAAAAAAGCAAAGGATACCAAGGGCCAATCCTACTCAGGAACAAATAATTTAAAAAAATGCAATAAATATAAAATGTGTTTATAGTATGTATACATATATGGAGAGAGAGACTGTGTCACATGTTCTGTATAACACCATTTCAGTCAATGACTGACATACACAATGGTGGCCCCATAAGATTATAATGGAGCTGAAAAATTACTATTGCCTAGTGATGTCATAGCCGTCTTAAAGTCTTAGTGTATTGCATTACTTACGTATTCATGGTGATGATTTTGTAAACAAACCTACTGAGCTGCCAGCCATATAAAAAAGCATAGTGCATACAATTATGTACAGTACCTAATACTTGGTAGTGATAATAAACTATTTTACCATTTATGTATTTACTGCACTATACTTTTATTGCAATTTTTGTGTGTAATTCTTTTACTTATAGAAAAAATAGTAAATGTAAAACAGCCTCAGGCAGATCCTTTAGAGGTACTCCAGAAGGCGTTTTCCTAGGAGATGACAGCTCCATGTGTGTTATTGCCCCTGAAGACTTTTCAGTGGAACAAGATGTGGAGGAGGAAGACAGAGATATTGATGACTTTGACTCTGTGTACACCTAGGCTAATGTGTGTTTGTGTCTTCATATTTAGAAAAAAGTTATAAAGTAAAAAACTAGTAAAAATAAATTTTAATAGAAAAATGTTTATAAAGATATAAAAATGTACTTTTGTATAGCTATAAAATGTGTTTGTGTTTTAAGCTAAGTGTTACTACAAAAAATTCAAAAAGTTAAAAAAATTAAATGTTTTTAGAGTAGAAAAGTAACAGTAAGGTAGTTAATTTATTACTAAAGAAATAAAAATTTTTATATAAATTTAGTGTTGCCTAGATTTATGGTGTTTACAGCATCTAAATTAGTATATAGAAATTTCTTAGGCCTTCAAATTCACTCACCACTCACTCACTGACTCATACAAAGCACCTTCCAGTTCTGAAAACTCCATTCATGGTCACTGCCCTATACAGGTGTACCAGTTTTAAATCTTTCATACCAAATTTTCATTGTACCTTTTTAATGTTTAAGTATGTTTAGATACACAAATATTTACCATTGTGTTATAACTGGCCTCTGTATTCAGTACTGTAACATACTGTACAGATCTGTAGCCCAGAAGCAATAAGCTTGTTTGTAAAGAGAGAAGATTTTAAGAAGAAAAAGGTGGTCAACTTGTTCCGTGTTGATATAATTTGGCTTTGTGTCCCCATTCAAATCTCATCTCAAATTATAATCCTCAGGTGTTGAGGAGGGACCCGGTGGGAGGTGATTGGATCATGGGGGCGGTTTTCCCCGTGGTGTTCTCATGATAATAAGTGAGTTCTCATGAGATCTGATGGTTTTATAAGGTGCTCTTCCCCCTTTACATGCTCTCACTCCCTCCTGCCACCATGTAATACATTCCTGCTCCCCCTTTTGCCGTGAGAGTAAGTTTCCTGAGGCCTCCCAAGCCATGTGGAACTGTGAGTCAAAGAAATCTCTTTCCTTTATAAATTATCCAGTCTCAGATATTTCTTTATAGCAGTGTGAGAACATACTGATACATGTGTATTGCTCAGAGTTCATGAGTCACAATTAAAATTTTTCATCAGTTCCTTCTTTGTGACCTTGACCATAGTCCTTTCAATGAAAGGGCTGAAAAGAAAACTCTACTAGTGTGAGTTGAGAAGGGAACATGCTTGTACAGTGAGATCATGCATATAAAACCAGTTCTTTTATTTTAAAGTACTAAGATGCAGCTAAATTATAATCTCCTTTCTGAAGTCCTCTTTAACTTTTCAGACTGATAAATATGTTATTATTCTTATTATCAAATACCTTTTTTGTTAATAAGATATCACTCATAGATGTTGACCACCTTGAGAAAAGTTATCTCTTTTCTTCTTATCTTTCTTCCAAAGCAATGTCTATGTATGTCACAGTGAATAATAAAATTTTTGATAAGCATTTTCAATTGAACTGAAAACAATTTCACTGAATTCATAATTCTGCATATGTTGTTCTTAAATATTGAGATTTATATTTTTCTTAATAAGACCTTGATTTATTCATAACTAATAATATTTTAACACTATGTCAACTGCTTAAATATTTGGGGAAAAACATAACACCCACCACATTTAGAAATGTGTTCACCTGCAAGTATATTAGATAAACTCATAATGTTTTCCTAAAGATCATGTATTATTTGGAGGCTATTTATGCTGTTAAAGCAAAGCAGCAGGAGACTATTTTCACACTACTTAGAAATGTTAAAAATTTAGTTCATGTGGGGGCATGTAAACAATTTTAAATAATAACATTTTACCTGAACTTTATTCAAGCTTGTGCTGAAACATGAAATAAAACTGAGTATAGAACTGAAAGTGTCTATTCCTGCCATCAAATATTCTTGAAAACTGCAGAGAACAGATATTAAGTTTTCTCATCACAAAGGAGGTAATGCATTTGTTAATAAGCTAGATTTAATTATTCCACTATATATATATTTATATATGGATACCACATTTTTGTATATTTTATAAATTTTTACATATTTTATATATGAAATCCATATAAACATACCTGTATATGCACATATGTATATATATACTTCATATATATATACATATCTACACATACATATATTATGTGTGTGTATACATATATACATATGTATACACACACACACTTCAACGCACAATTCATACAACAAAGCATCATGTTATACCTAATAAGTACAAATAATTTTGTCTATCAATTTTTTTAAAAGTTTTTCTGAAATCTTTTATTTTTCACTTTCATTCACTAGAATGTTTGATGAGAGCACTTGCTCTCACCTCTTCTTTTGGATGATAAAATATAAACCTATGAAGATATGTGGTTTTGTTTATATTTTATTTTGATTTGCAATAACACTCTCATGGCCAAACCAAGGGATGCACATGAAGTGAAAATAAATGTAGTTTTCATTTGATCATCATCACTTCTTTACATGTCTGAACAAAACTCTGTGAAATTGTGTAATTTGATGCATATGAAACTTGACTAGCCAAAACCATCCCTTTGATGTAAAGAAACTCATGTCACTATTTCTACTTTTTATATTGCTTTTACCTTACTATATTTATATCAAGTGTAAAACTTTAAAGATGGTTTGCTTGTAAAGACCATTGTGAATGAGTGAAAAACATGTTTTAGGCAATCCAGGGAAACACTGTCATGGATATGTATACGTATTGCTACAGTTTCTTCTGCAAAATACCTGGGAGAAATAGAGCCAGTGCTACCCAATCTGTGCTTTTATTTAATAGCTAATTGTATGAGTTACTGATCTAGTTTTAAAAATATCCTTAAGAACATACTGAAAAATAACATACAATTAAAAATACCTCAGTTATTAAAAGTTGAAGTCCTTGCCAATAAAGGAAAATACAAATAAATCAAATAATGGTTCGCACATCTTAATTTAATTCTGATATGCTGTACTCTAATTAAGGTTTGGGAACTCTGATTTACTAGGATGAAATGCTGAGATTCACAGTAATTTGAGTCATTTTTATTTTAATTCCACTTCTTTCTCTGTCTTCTGTACCATATCACATCTTCTCTTTGTAGCCAACCCCCACAACCTTCTCAGTTTCCTGTTTCCAGTGTATTTCCATGAAATCATTCTGATATGACCTTTACCCCACCAGTCCCTGAAAAGGTAATTCATTATTTTCACTCTGCCAAATTTAACTGCCATTTTTCAGTCCCCTCCTCTTTGATCTATTAGCAACATTTGACACTTCTTGAGCTTTGAAACACTGCCTGCTTGGCTTCCAAATCCACATTGTACCAGTTTTCTTTTTCTCCAATCTACCTGTCCCTTCTCAATTTCTTTCAGTGGCTTCACCTCATCTCCAGTATTGGACTATCTCAGCAATTAGTCCTTTAATTTTTTCTCTTTTCCACCTTTATTCAATTCTTTGGTGATATCATCCAGTGTTACCATTTTAAATTGTATTTTATCTGAATGACTTTCACGTTTATGTCTCCACTCCAGAATTCTCTCCTGAACTCTAGATTTATATTCACCTGCCCAGGGTTTCTACTTTGATATCTTGCAAGCATTTGAAAGTTAAAATTTCTAAAACTTAACTTTCAATCACTAAATGCCCTCCTCCCCCTACCAAAACTGTTTCCTCCCATAATCTCTCCATTTCATTAAAGGCAATCTCATCCTCTCAGTTTCTCAAGCTAGAAGCTTGGGTGGCTCTCAATATCTCTTTTTCTTTCCACCTCATTTGCAATTTCCGGAAAACCTGTTAGTGTTTTCTTCAAAAGGTAGCCAGAATCCTTCGAATCTTTGTCACCTCCACTTCTACTCCTCTTGCCCAAACCACCAATATCTGCCTCATACATATTTGTAAATACTTAGTAGCTAGTTTTTCTGTCTCTGCCCACACTTTGCTCTGCCACAGCAGTGATATAACACTGTTGATTATGACTAAAGACATAAAACCCTCCAGTGGGTCTCATTTCAATTGGAGTAAATATAAAAGACTTTAGAGTAGTATATAAGGGAATACAAGATTACTATTTTCACTACCACCACCATAAACACCTTTTCGACTTAACCATCTACTAATAGACACTTGAGCCTAACCCAACTCCCTGCTGTTCTGGAATCACAGCAGGTATCCAGCTGACCCATTCTTCCTTTACCTGGAATTCTCCTACCCAGAATATCTATTTGGCTTGATACTTACCTTCTCTAGATCTTTACTCAAATGACATTTGAGTTAGTAAAGACTTTCTTTGCTACCCTATTTCAAATAGCAGTTTGCTCCATTTGTGTTTTTTCTTCATAGCACTTACCATCCGACACATAATTTGTTTTACTTGTATATTTTGTTATTCTCTGTGTCACACTACTGAAATGTAAGCCCACCAGATGACATTTAACTCTGTAAAATTGTGACTTTAGATATTTCAAAGGCATCTGTATTTTTTGTTATTGTTACATTATTTGATTTCAGTAAGTAACAAAGCACGTTTCACTTCATTACCTGATAGTGATTCGTTTTTATTTTATATTTCTTAAAATTAAGAAAAATTGAAGTCAATGTGGAAATGGAATATATTCTTTTATGAATTTGAAACTAATGTACTTCATGATTTCTCTTTTTAAATTACAGAATATATATGTTGGAAATAAAAATTATTTTCTCTGGAAAATACTTCAGTTACATATTGTATACTTCTTCATAAAAGTATATAATCATCCTTATTGCTTTAGAATCCTCATATAGTACTATTTTTTCTACTACATGCTCACTCCTGAAACAATGTAAATGAGAGAGAATAACTTCTTTTTTTTTTTTTTTTTTTTTGAGACGTAGTCTCGCTCTGTCGCCCAGGCTGGAGTGCAGTGGCGGGATCTCGGCTCACTGCAAGCTCCGCCTCCCGGGTTCACGCCATTCTCCTGCCTCAGCCTCCCAAGTAGCTGGGACTACAGGCGCCCGCCACTACGCCCGGCTAATTTTTTGTATCTTTAGTAGAGACGGGGTTTCACCGTTTTAGCCGGGATGGTCTCGATCTCCTGACCTCGTGATCCGCCCGCCTCGGCCTCCCAAAGTGCTGGGATTACAGGCGTGAGCCACCGCACCCGGCCAATGAGAGAGAATAACTTCTAAGTTAGCCTTGATATATTTTTGGAAGAGGCCCTTTTCAGATTCAAATTTCTTATTCTAAATCAACCAATTCCTTACTCTTAAAATCCATTTTAATTAATGATTTGAGATGTAAGACAATTATGACATAATAGCAGCAAAAAGCACATGATGGCATAATTATTTTTAAAAGCCTGGAGAGAATAATGTAGATTAAATGGCCTGCTGGTCTCACTGTTTCTTCTGTCCAGTGTGTCACTGACTTTTCACATTTCTTGTTGTTTGTGAAAGGTTAGGTAGTTTGACTTTTACTGTATGGCACAGACTCTAATTTTGGAAGTTGTAGCTACTTTTGCAGAGATGATGTGTTCAATGGTGCTAAACAAAATACAGTTGCTTTGAATTAGCAAGGATAACAGAAAATCACAGGAGCAAAGCAATCAGGAACACAGATTAAAGTAATTTTTAGAACTTTGGTTATTGGCAAAGTACTAAAAGTATCAATACCAAAATAATATATTATTTAAATGAATTGAAACATCTGAAAAAGAACATTAATATCAAGATTAGAATAAAAGCTTGTTAATATAAACATTTAAGTGAAAATAACCCAAGTTCTCTTCTTAAATTTATGAAGACCAAAATAATTAAGCAAATGAGATATAAGTAAAGGGAATGAAATCTGAGACCTATTTATTATTGCATTTTTTATTCACTTGCACACCCCAACAGTTACATAATACAATATTTTTGAATAATATAAAAATAAAATCAATTAAAAGAAAATAGTATTATTAGGGATTAGAGACCTAAATCATGAATGTTGCTTTTGGAGACATTTTTGCCCCCTATAGGAGCTTAGAGGATGACATTAATATTTATTTCTCTCCATTCTTGTGTTTCATTAGATCTGATCAACTGTGCTTGATTGACTGTCTTTGATTAACAATGTCTCAATTTGATTAACAATGTTGTTAATTATAAATACTTATAAAAACATTTTGTTGTAGAGAAATATTGTACTATTGACTAATAGCCAGAAAATTCTGAGAAAACTGATTGACCAGGATAGAAGTCAAAATACTAGGTTAAATTGAATAATTTAATTCATTGAATAATTTTGTATGACTTGCTGTTGTTATCCTGCAATCACCAGGTATTCATTTTATTCTAGAATGAGGAGACATTTTAAAGGGATATTGAAACTTCTAGTAATATTTTTATTATTTCTTACAGTCAGGCTACAATTTTATTTAATGTATAGTTAATACTGAGATGTTTCCAAAATCAAAAAATTAGAATAAAATGTGTATTTAATGTTTAATGCAACTCATCAGCAAAGGAAATATTAATAGCTGCAGAACTATACAAATTGTCCTGTACACTCATTGCAATTCTGCTCACGTCACTGCTATGATTATATCGTAATCTGGGAGATAAATACTGTATCTGACCTCGATCTAATATTAAGAGCCCACAGTATCTATTCTCATTACTGGAAACAATAGCAAGAAAAAGGGAGAAGACTGAAAACAAAGTGAAAGTAGGTAAGCAGATTGTGAGAAAGAAGAAATATTGGACAGCAAAGGATTGGATACTGGACATCTAAGAATGATAGAGAAAAATCTAATCATGGTAATAGTTTTCTCATTATAATATTTTATGAGTACTTTTCTCACAATAGTATTTTATGAGTATTATTTCTCACAGCAGAATTCAGTAGACTAAAATAGGAAACAATTAATAAGTAGACCAACAAAATTAAATAGAAAGCTAAATAATGTCTACAGGCTAAAGGAAGAGACAAGAGAAAAAATTCACAATATGAAAAGGTGTTCCCAGCAAAACAATTTTCATGTGAAATTTCCCATGAAACTTTCAAAACTTAAGAGACAGTAGCCAAACAAAGTTGTCAGAAAGAATTTCATAAGAGTTTTATCATAATATATGAATAAAAATGTCTTAATATTCTCTTAGTGGAAAAAATGGTTATGTGTTCTTACCAAGTTGCAAAACTAATTCTGGGCCTCTGTGTCTCTGGTAGTACTTTGATTCCTAGTAAAGATTAACAAATATTATGTTAGTGACATAATTTCATGTGTTACTTAAATGCTCTGTTTTTGTTCTGTGAATTAATGCCATTGGCAATTTTTTATGCTATTTTAATTGGCATTTCTGTGATCATTAATAAATTTAAGTATAACTTTTACTTACTGGTTAGCCAACCGCTTTTCTCCTTTTGTGAGCTGTCTATTAAAGTTCTTTACCCAATTTTTCATCACTTATTATTTACTTTTCCTCATTGAGTTATAGGATTTTATCATAAATTCTAGATATTAGTCTCATGTGAATTTTAAATGTTCTAAATATCTTTGCACAATGGGCCTTCTCTCTGTTACCTTTGTCAATGTTTACACTTTTGATATAATCAATTCTTATCTTATGCTTGGTGCTAATCAAATACCACGCAAACAAACCATTGTCTCCTGAAGGTCTTTTTCTCCTATTTTTAATTGTATTACCTTTCTAGTTATCTCTCTTATATTTAAGTTTTTAGTCCAGCAGCAATCCACTTATACACAGTTTTATTTTTCTCCCTATATTAACTAGGTTTCAAAACAACATTTACTACACAATCGTAAATTTCCAAAATATACAAGTGTACATCTCTGAACTGTTTTTATACCATTAGTCTTCTTGCCTGGACTTACAACATCAACATCAAAATTTTACTAAGGTTGTCTTATAATTTATTTTACTATCTGCTAGGCAGTTTCTTTGCCACACTATCTACTTTGCATCTAAGTTGACTTAGCTACGGAGAACTTTATTCCTCCACATTTTTCTTAGAATACGTTTTAGAAAACTTCAGAATAATTTTTGGGTGAATTCTAAATCTAGCTACAGAATTTGTTTGGGACTACAGTAAGTTTAAGGGATACTTCTGTGAAGCTGACATTTACAAACTATCAGACCATCTCAACTAGAAGTAAGAAATAGTCTTATTTGTGTCTTTTAATAAAATGTAATTACTTTTCCCAGTTTAAAGTCTTGTAGTATATTCTTTTCTCAAGGTAATAGTTACTTAACATATTACTCTATAGTTCCCGGATTTTGCAAATTATATTTGTTTTCCATTGAAATTTTTATTTTCAATGTATAACTTCTGATATAAACATACACTATTCTATTATATATTCTACTACATATTGCTAATGACATGAACTGAGCCATCTTGCTAATATTTTAATATTTATAATAATTTATACTTTGATTATTTTGTTTTTTTCTATGTTGGTCAGTGATCTTCAAAACAGCTGCGTATTAAAATCACCTGGTGAGAAGTGACAGCATTCTGGCAGTCCTCGCAGCCCTCGCTCGCTCTGGGCGCCTCCTCTGCCTGGGCTCCCACTTTGTTGGCACTTGAGGAGCCCTTCAGCCCACCGCTGCACTGTGGAAGCCCCTTTCTGGGCTGGCCAAGGCCGGAGCCGGCTCCCTCAGCTCGCAGGGAGTTGTGGAGAGAGAGGCGCGAGCGGGAACCGGGGCTGCCCGGGGCGCTTGTGGGCCAGCTGGGGTTCCGGGTGGGCGTGGGCTTGGCGGACCCCGCACTCGGAGCAGCGGCGGGCCCTGCCGGCCCCGGCAATGAGGGGCTTAACACCCAGGCCAGCGGCTGCGGAGGGTGTACTGGGTCCCCCAGCACTGCCGGCCCACCGGCGCTGCGCTCGGGCCTTAGCTGCCTTCCTGAGGGGCAGGGCTCGGGACCTGCAGCCCGCCATGCCTGAGCCCCCGCCCCCGCCGTGGACTCCTGTGCAGCGGAGCCTCCCCAACAAGCGCCACCCCCTGCTCCGTGGCGCCCAGTCCCATCGACCACCCAAGGGCTGAGGAGTGTGGGCTCAGGGCGTGGGACTGGCAGGCAGCTCCACCTGCAGCCCCAGTGTGAGATTCACTGGGTGAAACCAGCGGGGCTCCTGAGTCTGGTGGGAACTTGGAGAACCTTTATGTCTGGGTCAGGGATTGTAAATACACCAATGGGCAGTCTGGATCTAGCTCAAGGTTTGTAAACACACCAATCAGCACCCTGTGTTTAGCTCAGGGTTTGTGAATGCACCAATCGACACTGTATCTAGCTACTCTGGTGGGGACTTGGAGAACCTCTGTGTGTAGCTCAGGGATTGTAAAGGCACCAATCAGTGCCCTGTCAAAACAGACCACTGGGCTCTACCAATCAGCAGGATTTGGGTGGGGCCAGATAAGAATAAAAGCAGGCTGCCCAGAGGCAGCAGTGGCCACCGGCTCCGGTCCCCTTCCACACTGTGGAAGCTTTGTTCTTTTGCTCTTTGCAATAAATCTTGCTACTGCTCACTCTTCGGGTCCACACTGCCTTTATGAGCCGTGACACTCACCACGAAGGTCTGCAACTTCACTCCTGAGCCAGCGAGAGCACGAGCCCACCGGGAGGAATGAACAACTCCAGACGTGCCACCTTCAGAGCTGTAACACTCACCACGAAGGTCTGCAGCTTCACTCCTGAGCCAGCAAGACCACGAACCAACCAGAAGGAAGAAACTCCGAACACATCTGAACATCAGAAGGAACAAACTCCGGACACGCCGCCTTTAAGAACTGTAACACTCACCGGGAGGGTCCGCAGCTTCATTCTTGAAGTCAGTGAGACGAAGAACCCGCCAATTCCGGACACACTGGTAAAGTATTAAAAAAATAACAGACTGTAATACTTTTTGGTAGTAGGAGAGCTAAAAAAAAACTCCAGATACTTTTATCAGATTTAGGGCAACCCTTTTCTTACGCTTTAGATTTCATACCACTTACTCTTGAGCAACAAATTATTTTGTTTTCTTAGCTCAACCCCTCACTGAATCTTTATTCTCAAAATATAAAGCATGCTCAAACCACTCTCTTTTAATAAGAAAATACACACACACAAAAATTCAGAGACTCCACATTTCTATTTACTATTCTATAGTCTTACTCTTAAATACTAGATATGCATTCTCTTTATGGCCTAACTTTTCATTTACTCCTTCAGAAACTAGTATTTAAACTGGTCTTGCCAAATTCAAAACAGGACTATGCATTGCCAAACGTAATGACCGCTAAAAATAGTTGATATTATTGGCCATAAATCTCAATGTAGAATTCCTTTCCTTTCTGGCCTCTATCACTCCCATTTTTGTTTGTTTCGTTGATATCTGGTGGCTTCCTCTTAGCCACCGTTTTGGATTTTTCTTCTCTTTGCCCGAAACACAATACGACTTATCCACTTTCTTCAGCTTCAGCTCTTTTCTCTAAAAACATTTTATTTTGATGACATCATCTAACCTATGGGTTTTGTAAGGAATAACAAATTTATTAATTCATTCAACACATTAATTAGAAAACTATTACATGGAAAGCACTCTTTTTTTTAATTTTTTAATGTTTAACTTATTATTATACTTTAAGTTTTAGGGTACATGTGCACATTGTGCAGGTTAGTTACATATGTATACATGTGCCATGCTGGTGCGCTGCACCCACTAACTCGTCATCTAGCATTAGGTATATCTCCCAATGCTATCCCTCCCCCCTCCCCCCACTGCACAACAGTCCCGGGAGTGTCATGTTCCCCTTTCTGTGTCCATGTGTTCTCATTGTTCGGTTCCCACCTATGAGTGAGAATATGCGGTGTTTGGTTTTTTGTCCTTGCGATAGTTTACTGAGAATGATGATTTCCAATTTCATCCATGTCCCTACAAAGGACATGAACTTATCATTCTTTATGGCTGCATAGTATTCCATGGTGTATATGTGCCACATTTTCTTAATCCAGTCTATCATTGTTGGACATTTGGGTTGGTTCCAAGTCTTTGCTATTGTGAATAATGCTGCAATAAACATACGTGTGCATGTGTCTTTATAGCAGCATGATTTATAGTCCTTTAGGTATATACCCAATAATGGGATGGCTGGGTCAAATGATATTTCTAGTTCTAGATCCCTGAGGAATCGCCACACTGACTTTCACAATGGTCGAACTAGTTTACAGTCCCACCAACAGTGTAAAAGTGTTCCTATTTCTCCACATCCTCTCCAGCACCTGTTGTTTCCTGACTTTTTAATGATTGCCATTCTAACTGGTGTGAGATGGTATCTCATTGTGGTTTTGATTTGCATTTCTCTGATGGCCAGTGATGGTGAGCATTTTTTCATGTGTTTTTTGGCTGCATAAATGTCTTCTTTTGAGAAGTGTCTGTTCATGTCCTTTGCCCACTTTTTGATGGGGTTGTTTGTTTTTTTCTTGTAAATTTGTTTGAGTTCATTGTAG
The DNA here is from genome assembly GCF_000001405.40 of Homo sapiens. Lineage (NCBI taxonomy): Eukaryota > Metazoa > Chordata > Mammalia > Primates > Hominidae > Homo > Homo sapiens. The sequence goes on along the minus strand of NC_000004.12, from coordinate 115,176,993 downwards.
ATTCTGGATATTAGCCCTTTGTCAGATGAGTAGGTTTCAAAAATTTTCTCCCATTTTGTAGGTTGCCTGTTCACTCTGATGGTAGTTTCTTTTGCTGTGCAGAAGCTCTTTAGTTTAATGAGATCCCATTTGTCAATTTTGGCTTTTGTTGCCATTGCTTTTGGTGTTTTAGACATGAAGTCCTTGCCCATGCCTATGTCCTGAATGGTAATGCCTAGGTTTTCTTCTAGGGTTTTTATGGTTTTAGGTCTAACGTTTAAGTCTTTAATCCATCTTGAATTGATTTTTGTATAAGATGTAAGGAAGGGATCCAGTTTCAGCTTTCTACATATGGCTAGCCAGTTTTCCCAGCACCATTTGTTAAATAGGGAATCCTTTCCCCATTGCTTGTTTTTCTCAGGTTTGTCAAAGATCAGATAGTTGTACATATGTGGCGTTATTTCTGAGGGCTCCATTCTGTTCCATTGATCTATATCTCTGTTTTGGTACCAGTACCATGGTGCTTTGGTTACTGTAGCCTTGTAGTATAGTTTGAAGTCAGGTAGTGTGATGCCTCCAGCTTTGTTCTTTTGGCTTAGGATTGACTTGGCGATGTGGGCTCTTTTTTGGTTCCCTATGAACTTTAAAGTAGTTTTTTCCAATTCTGTGAAGAAAGTCATTGGTAGCTTGATGGGGATGGCATTGAATCTGTAAATCACCTTGGGCAGTATGGCCATTTTCACGATATTGATTCTTCCTACCCATGAGCATGGAATGTTCTTCCATTTCTTTGTATCCTCTTTTATTTCCTTGAGCAGTGGTTTGTAGTTCTCCTTGAAGAGGTCCTTCACATCCCTTGTAAGTTGGATTCCTAGGTATTTTATTCTCTTTGAAGCAATTGTGAATGGGAGTTCACTCATGATTTGGCTCTCCGTTTGTCTGTTGTTGGTGTATAAGAATGCTTGTGATTTTTGTTCTTGATTTTGCATCCTGAGACTTTGCTGAAGTTGCTTATCAGCTTAAGGAGATTTTGGGCTGAGACAATGGGGTTTTCTAGATACACAATCATGTCGTCTGCAAACAGGGACAATTTGACTTCCTCTTTTCCTAATTGAATACCCTTTATTTCCTTCTCCTGCCTAATTGCCCTGGCCAGAACTTCCAACACTATGTTGAATAGGAGTGGTGAGAGAGGGCATCCCTGTCTTGTGCCAGTTTTCAAAGGGAATGCTTCCAGTTTTTGCCCATTCAGTATGATGTTGGCTGTGGGTTTGTCATAGGTAGCTCTTATTATTTTGAGATACGTCCCATCAATACCTAATTTATTGAGAGTTTTTAGCATGAAGGGTTGTTGAATTTTGTCAAAGGCCTTTTCTGCATCTATTGAGATAATCATGTGGTTTTTGTCTTTGGCTCTGTTTATATGCTGGATTACATTTATAGATTTGCGTATATTGAACCAGCCTTGCATCCCAGGGATGAAGCCCACTTGATCATGGTGGATAAGCTTTTTGATGTGCTGCTGGATTCGGTTTGCCAGTATTTTATTGAGGATTTTTACATCAATGTTCATCAAGGATATTGGTCTAAAATTCTCTTTTTTGGTTGTGTCTCTGCCCGGCTTTGGTATCAGGATGATGCTGGCCTCATAAAATGAATTAGGGAGGATTCCCTCTTTTTCTATTGATTGGAATAGTTTCAGAAGGAATGGTACCAGTTCCTCCTTGTACCTCTGGTAGAATTATGCTGTGAATCCATCTGGTCCTGGACTCTTTTTGGTTGGTAAGCTATTGATTATTGCCACAATTTCAGCTCCTGTTATTGGTCTATTCAGAGATTCAACTTCTTCCTGGTTTAGTCTTGGGAAAGTGTATGTGTAGAGGAATGTATCCATTTCTTCTAGATTTTCTAGTTTATTTGCGTAGAGGTGTTTGTAGTATTCTCTGATGGTAGTTTGTATTTCTGTGGGATCGGTGGTGATATCCCCTTTATCATTTTTTATTGCGTCTATTTGATTCTTCTCTCTTTTTTTCTTTATTAGTCTTGCTAGCGGTCTATCAATTTTGTTGATCCTTTCAAAAAACCAGCTGCTGGATTCATTAATTTTTTGAAGGGTTTTTTGTGTCTCTATTTCCTTCAGTTCTGCTCTGGTTTAACTTATTTCTTGCCTTCTGCTAGCTTTTGAATGTGTTTGCTCTTGGTTTTCTAGTTCTTTTAATTGTGATGTTAGGGTGTCAATTTTGGATCTTTCCTGCTTTCTCTTGTGGGCATTTAGTGCTATAAATTTCCCTCTACACACTGCTTTGAATGTGTCCCAGAGATTCTGGTATGTTGTGTCTTTGTTCTCGTTGGTTTCAAAGAACATCTTTATTTCTGCCTTCATTTCGTTATGTACCCAGTAGTCATTCAGGAGCAGGTTGTTCAGTTTCCATGTAGTTGAGCGGTTTTGAGTGAGATTCTTAATCCTGAGTTCTAGTTTGATTGCATTGTGGTCTGAGAGATACTTTGTTATAATTTCTGTTCTTTTACATTTGCTGAGGAGAGCTTTACTTCCAAGTATGTGGTCAATTTTGGAATAGGTGTGGTGTGGTGCTGAAAAAAAATGTATACTCTGTTGATTTGGGATGGAGAGTTCTGTAGATGTCTATTAGGTCCGCTTGGTGCAGAGCTGAGTTCAATTCCTGGGTATCCTTGTTGACTTTCTGTCTCGTTGATCTGTCTAATGTTGACAGTGGGGTGTGAAAGTCTCCCATTATTAATGTGTGGGAGTCTAAGTCTCTTTGTAGGTCACTCAGGACTTGCTTTATGAATCTGGGTGCTCCTGTATTGGGTGCATTTATATTTAGGATAGTTAGCTCTTCTTGTTGAATTGATCCCTTTAGCATTATGTAATGGCCTTCTTTGTCTCTTTTGATCTTTGTTGGTTTAAAGTCTGTTTTATCAGAGACTAGGATTGCAACCCCTGCCTTTTTTTGTTTTGCATTTGCTTGGTAGATCTTCCTCCATCCTTTTATTTTGAGCCTATGTGTGTCTCTGCACGTGAGATGGGTTTCCTGAATACAGCACACTGATGGGTCTTGACTCCGTATCCAATTTGCCAGTCTGTGTCTTTTAATTGGAGCATTTAGTCCATTGACATTTAAAGTTAATATTGTTATGTGTGAATTCGATCCTGTCATTATGATGTTAGCTGGTTATTTTGCTCGATAGTTGATGCAGTTTCTTCCTAGTCTCGATGATCTTTACATTTTGACATGATTTTGCAGCGGCTGGTACTGGTTGTTCCTTTCCATGTTTAGCGCTTCCTTCAGGAGCTCTTTTAGGGCAGGCCTGGTGGTGAGAAAATCTCTCAGCATTTGCTTGTCTGTAAAGTATTTTATTTCTCCTTCACTTATGAAGCTTAGTTTGGCTGGATATGAAATTCTGGGTTGAAAATTCTTTTCTTTAAGACTGTTGAATATTGGCCCCCACTTTCTTCTGGGTTGTAGAGTTTCTGCCGAGAGATCTGCTGTGAGTCTGATGGGCTTCCCTTTGTGGGTAACCCAACCTTTCTCTCTGGCTGCCCTTAACATTTTTTCCTTCATTTCAACTTTGGTGAATCTGACAATTATGTGTCTTGGAGCTGCTCTTCTCGAGGAGTATCTTTGTGGTGTTCTCTGTATTTCCTGAATCTGAATGTTGGCCTGCCTTGCTAGATTGGGGAAGTTCTCCTGGATAATATCCTGCAGAGTGATTTCCAACTTGGTTCCATTCTCCCCGTCACTTTCAGATACACCAATCAGACGTAGATTTGGTCTGTTCACATAGTCCCATATTTCTTGGAGGCTTTGCTCATTTCTTTTTATTCTTTTTTCTCTAAACTTCCCTTCTCGCTTCATTTCATTCACTTCATCTTCCAGCACTGATACCCTTTCTTCCAGTTGATCGCATCGGCTCCTGAGGCTTCTGCATTCCTCACGTAGTTCTCCAGCCTTGGTTTTCAGCTCCATCAGCTCCTTTAAGCACTTCTCTGTATTGGTTATTTTAGTTATACATTCTTCTAAACTTTTTTCAAAGTTTTCAACTTCTTTGCCTTTGGTTTGAATTTCCTCCCATAGCTCAGAGTAATTTGATCATCTGAAGCCTTCTTCTCTCAGCTCGTCAAAGTCATTCTCCGTGCAGCTTTGTTCCATTGCTGGTGAAGCACTGCGTTCCTTTGGAGGAGGAGAGGTGCTCTGCTTTTTAGAGTTTCCAGTTTTTCTGCTCTGTTTTTTCCCCATCTTCGTGGTTTTATCTACTTTTGGTCTTTGATGATGGTGATGTACAGATGGGTTTTTGGTGTGGATGTCCTTTCTGTTTGTTAGTTTTCCTTCTAACAGACAGGACCCTCAGCTGCAGGTCTGTTGGAGTACCCGGCCGTGTGAGGTGTCAGTCTGCCCCTGCTGGAGGGTGCCTCCCAGTTAGGCTGCTCGGGGGTCAGGGGTCAGGGACCCACTTGAGGAGGCAGTCTGACCGTTCTCAGATCTCCAGCTGCGTGCTGGGAGAACCACTGCTCTCTTCAAAGCTCAGATGGAAATGCAGAAATCACCCATCTTCTGCGTCGCTCACGCTGGGAGCTGTAGACCGGAGCTGTTCCTATTTGGCCATCTTGGCTCCCCCCGACCCCAAGCACTATTTCAGGCAATGGGAAGATGAGAGTGAACAAAATATAGTCTCCTCCAGAGTTTAGACGCTAGTGAAGAAAACATAACAAATTGTAAAATATTTTTTCTCTGGTATTAAAAAAAGCAAAATAAAAACAACAGTGGGTATCATAAGCAGGGGAGCAGAGTTGTTATTTGACAGAGGTTCGTAAAAGAATAACTTATTAAATTACATTGATATTCCAGTCATCCAGTTCATTCCTGGCTCCCATATTACCTCCTATGCCCTAGGTTGTCTTTATTGCTAACTCAGCCTGACATCTGGTATGCCAAATGTCAATGTAAAGAAAACACTGGTAATCAATGAAACCACACACTATTTAAAAAGTAAGGCAAGTAATATGATATGTTAAATTTTGAAGATCAATGTGAACTCATAGCCAGAAAGGAAATATATTTAAAGCTATTTCACTCATAAAAGTGCTCTAGTAGCAGTATCAGGGGCAAAACACTCACCCACCACCAACTCACTTGTGAGCACATGGCTTCTACTAACATACTCCACTGAAGGGAACCAAGTCTCCTTTGAAGATGCCTCATTTCAGGCCTTGGGAGTATAAAAAATGAAGGGTTGGGAATATCCTATTGCCAACAATGTTAAAGGAATAAGTGAAAGGATTATAATTCAATTTAAAGGTGCTTCCACTAGCCAAACTTGTGCAAATTAAGCATTTATAAATTGTCATTTTACTATTGTAAATTTGAAATGAATTGACTGTGAGAAAAGCCATGAGTTGATAAGCACATCCAAGAGTTATTAAGTATAATAAAAGGTAGCTAGTTGTATTATAATACAGAGTTACAAATAACACTGTAAATTATTTTTTAAATGTATAATTTAATATAGGTGAATATTTTTATTCTAATTTATCAACATTTGTTTATAAAGTGCAGATACATACTTTTTTGATCTGTGTCAGCAAAAACTATAACTCCTATTTGTAACTTGCCCATTTTGACTTTCTACCCAATATCTAGGACTAAATAACTGGCATCTTGAATTTTTTTCTCATATATTCATTCATTCAACAAAAAGTTATCAAGTAAACATTATTTGACCAATACTCTAATATAGCGAGGATGTGGTAATATAAGAAATGATACAAAGTTCATAACCTTATACATTTTTCATTCTGATGGAAGAGAAACAAAAGTGACAGATTAAAAAGTAAAATATATATTATGTTAATAAAGAAGCAGATGAAGTCATGAAATGCCTTGAAAGGGTAATATTTAAGACAATGTGCTAGGAAAGTCCTCACTGAGAAGGTGACTTGAGTAATGGCTTAAAAGAAATGAGAGAGATAGTCTTTTAGATATACAAGTGAAGGACACACTGGTCCAAGAAACCAGCAAGCAAAAAAGCCCTGAAGCAAGACCAACCCCAAAAAGTGTAGAGATTAATAAGGAATCTGGATGGCTGGAGAAGATGCAAGGAGGAAAGCAGCAAGGTATGAAGTCCAAGGAATCAAAGAGAAATCATGTAAAGGTAGGAGGCCAATGTAATGAAAACCATTGGGAGATTTTGTAACATGATCTCACATACATGTTGACAATGTCACTCTGGCTGCTATGTTGAGAATAGTCTATAGACATTAAGGGTAGAAGCAGGAAGACAAATTAAACAGCTACTGCAATAATTCAGAACAGACCTAATAATGACTTGAAACAGAGTAATAGCTGCTGAGGTAATAGAAAGTGGATGAAAATGCTTATATAATTTGAAGATGGATGCAGTTTTTTTTTTTTTTTTTTTTTTTTTTTGAGAGGGAGTCTCACTCTGTCACCCAGGCTGGAGTGCAGTGGCACCATCTCGGCTCATTGCAACCTCCACATCCCAGGTTCAAGCCATTCTCCTGCCTCAGCCTCCTGAGTAGCTGGGATTACAGGCACCCGCCACCACACCTGGCTGATTTTTATATTTTTAGTAGAGATGAGGTTTCACCATGTTGGCCAGACTGGTCTCAAACTTCTGACCCCAGATCCACCCCCCTTGGCCTCCCAAAGTTCTGGGATTACAGGCATGAGGCTGGCCCAGATGGATACAGTTTCAATGATGTATCACATGTGGAATGCAGAATAAAGAGACTAGTCAAGGGGAACACCAAGACTTTGGAATGATTTGGAAGAACAGAGTTAACATTAACTGAGATGGTGCTATGGTTGAAATGTGTATCGCCACAATTCACGCATTAAAACCATAACCCCCAGTATCTCAGAATTCAGTCTTAGATATAGGGTCTTCACAGAGGCAATCAAATTAAAATGAGGTCATCAAGGTAGTCCCCAAACCAATATCAGTGTTTCTTTTTAAAACAAGAAAATTTCAACACAGAGGCACAAAGGGAAGACCCTTACCTCGTAGACCTCAGAAAGAAAAATCTCTCTGACACCATGATTTCAGACATCTAGACTTGAGAACTATCAGGTGATAAATTTCTTTTTTTTAAGCACTTTGTTATGGCATATCCAGGAAACTAATACCGATGGGGTATTATGTTTGGAATGACATGAGTTATAAGCAAACTAGTGGGAAAGGAAACTTACTTGTATACCTATTCTGACTAAAACAGAAGCTTTAAATAGTTGCTTAAAATTTTTAAATGTTTGGTTGATAATGATAATTAATTTTTTAGGTTGGCCAATTTGCCACACAATGCAATTCAGAGGCCAATTTTAATAAAATGATTTGTCTTTGGCTATTAAAGAGAGTTTCTCAAGTTAAAAACTATTTTAAATTACATCTACAAAGCCTCCATTCCAACATGACAGCACCGGCTCATCTCTTCCTGGTTCTCTCCATTAAGTACAACTGTGAGCCTAGGAAATAATTCCATAGGCAAACAATGGAGAATATTAAAAGGTGAAAAGAGGAAGGTATGCTAACTAGAGACTCCAGGATTAGAAGACAGACATAACAACAGGGCAACTTACGAGCCCACAAAACAGAAAACACTACAGACCCAGCATTTTTCAACCTTCCAGTAAGCCGGAGAGGGCTGCTCAGATAGGTTTGTTCTTTACTTATGTCAAATTGAGGTCTTCCTGACAACACCAATAAGCCTGATAGTATGGGCATGGAGTGTCAGTCAGAAGCTAAAAATAGGTGGCTACACAACACTGGAAAGGGAAAGACAACCACAACAATCTCCTGACCTGGGAAGTACTCTCCTTCCCCAACAGGCTAGAGATTCCTCTTCCCCATCAAGAGTCTATGGATGGCTGAAAAGAACCAGCGAGGGAGATCTCACCACATTAAGTTGGCTAGTTCACAAAGCCTCTTCTTCCCCATGCATCAGGGATTTCTTCCCCCCTCTGACAGATAGCAGGTGGCCTAACCTAAAAAACTTCAGGCAGCAGCAGCAGGAACCTGCAGGAGACCAAAAGCACCAAATCAACAAAGCAGACCAAAATAGCCCCAAGAAGCCTCTGGAAATTAAATTGTAACTGGAACCAAAACCTACAAAGGTAGCTCAAGACCTGCTTAATGAAACCAAGCAGATGACTGCCTTCTAAACAAAAGATTCAAATAGAACCCAGGGGCTCCTTAAATAATAGACACAATGTTCAGGACACGATAAAAAAAAAATTCACCCATCATACCAAAAAAACAGGAAAATCACAGCTGGAATGGAAAAAGAGAACTGATGTCAACACTGAGATGAATCAGATGTTATAATTATTTGACAAGTATTTTAACTCAGTCATAATAAAATACCTCAGGCCGGGCATGATACTCATGCCTGTAATCCCAACACTTTGGGAGCCTGAGGCACGAGGATTACATGAGCCCAGGAGTTTGAAATGAGTTTAAACAACACAGTGAGACCCCCATCACTAAAAAATAAATTTAAAAATTAGCTGGGCATGGTGGCTTGTGTGTATAGTCCCAGCTAATTGGGAGACTGAGGGAAAAGGATCACTTGGGTCCAGGAGGTTAAGCCTGCAGTGAGCTGTGATTACACCACTGCACTCCGGCCTCTGCAACAGAGTGAGACCTTGTCTGAAAAAATAAATAAATAACAATAAAAACATCTAAAGAAATAATTACAAATTGTCTTCAAATTAATGGGAAATCTCAACAATGAAATGTTATTTTTAAAAAATGAAAATTATAGAACAAATACAGTACAATAACCAAAGGGAAAAATAGAAAATAAACAGATCTTTAAGAACTTGTGGGACAATTAATAAAATCCAACTTTTCTATAATTGGAGTACAGGAAGGTATGAAAAAGGAGAATGAGTCTAAAAGAGTATTTAAATAAATAATGGCTGAAAACTTCCCAAACTTGGCAAAAAGACATGAGCTTATAGGCTTCAGAAACTGAGCAAACCCAAAGTAGGAGAAACCCAAAGAAATGCAGGACAAGACATTATAATGAAACTTTTTAAAAGTAAAGAAAAAATAATGAAAGCTGCAGAGAAATTTCACATTGCCTATAGGAGTAAAACAATTCCATTAACAGTGGGCTTGTCATTTGAAACCAGGAAGGCTAGAAAAAAATTGGCCCAACATTTTTAAAACATTCAACTTAAAGGACTATCAACTGCAAATTATATATTCAGTGAAGCTTTCCTATGGGAGAGAACACTAAATAACCTCAGTTTTAGGATCAACTTCCAAATTCTTAGCATTTTTATATTTTAAAAAATCTTTCTCTTTGTCTTCGCCTTTCACATAAAAATAAAAAAGTATGTTTCTTCCAAATTAAAAGTTTCATTGCTACATGAAATTAAACATGCCTCCTCTTACAATGAGTGTTTGCTTATATTTTCTGCTATCTATGGTAACAAATAACTCAGAATATCAGTAACTTGGAACAAAAACCACTTAACTTCCCATTCATGAGACATATTGGTAGTGGATAGAGGCCAGCATTGCTCAGTAGAGTTCTCATTTCAATATCCTGGCTAAATAATCAGTCTAAATTTGTTATATTGTAGCAACAATTTTGCAGCATTTTTCTTCATTGATTATTAATAACTTTATAAAATTTACATTCTTAGGACTCAATATGCAGCCACAGAACTCCAAAGGACATTCTTTCTGGTATTTATTAGAGGGCATCCAACTGAGCAGTGTTCACGTATACGCTTCAAAGAAAACAAAATCAAATGAATTTGGGAGATGCCAGTCCATATATACTTGCTAAGCTCAAAACCCTTCATCTATATGTTTTGCAAGTAACATTTCAACTATCCTACTTTGATTTCTACATTTGTCACTTAAAACCCCTGAGCATCTTAGTCATGAGGGATTTGTAAATATTTGTAAATATATATATATTTATATTTAATATATAAAATATATATATATATTCACATTCCATATCATCTAGAGATTTGGAAACAGTTCTATAAGCCAGCAATTAGAAGTTTTCATGGCAATCACATATGATGTGAATCAATTTATCTAGAAAGAGTTGAGTGTGTAGGAGTTTAAAAAGGAGCAGAAATCATTCTGTAGTTATAGTACATTAGGAAATATCTATCCAAAAGATAGGCAATAATAAATACTGGAGAGAATGTGGAGAAAAGGGAACCCTTGTAGTCCATTGGTGGAAATGTAAATTCCTGCAACCACTATGGAGAACAATTTGGAGGTTCATCAAAAAAGTAAAAATAGAGCTACCATATGATCTAGCAATCCCATTGCTGGGTATATGCCTCAAAGAAAAGAAATCAGTACATCAAAGACCTATCTGCACTCTTATGTTTATTGAAGTACTTTTCACAATAGCTAAGATTTGGAAGCAACCTAAGTGTTCACCAACAGATAAATGGTTAAAAGAAATGTGGTACTTATATACAATGAAAGGAGTACTATTCGGCCATAAAAAAGGAGATCCTGTCATTTACGACAACATGGATGGACCTGAAGGACATTACGTTAAGTGAAATAAGCCAGGAAAAGAAAGACAAACATCAAATATTCTCACTTATTTGTAGGATCTAAAAATGAAAACAATTGAACACATAGAGAGTAGAAGGATGGTTACTAGAGTCTGGGAAATGTATTGAGAATTGCGGGGGAGGTGAGGATGGTTAACGGGTACAAAAGAAATAGTTAGAAAGAATGAACAATACCTAGAATTTTATAGCACAACAGGGGGACTATAGCTATTTTTAAAAAACTAAAAAAAGTATAATTGGATTGTTTGTAACACAAAGGATAAATACGTGAGGGGATAGATACCCCAGTTTTCTATGATGCAGTTATTACACATTGCATGCCTGTATCAAAACATCTCATGTACCCCATAAATATATAGACCTGTGTACCCACGGAAATTAAAAATGAAAAAACAAAGAAATGTGATTATGCCATATGTTGTTAATAGTTAATACATCTAAAACCAACAAGCATTGTTCATTATCCTCAGGAATTCCTTCCAGAGTCATAGAAATTTTATTCAGTCATTGCTTAACTAGTATAACATAATTTTCTATCATTGGAATAATCTGTAAATAGGATTAACATACAAAATAAAACTACCCTAAGTTAAATGACTCCCTAAGTCACCAAACATAATCTAGGCAGAAAACTGAAAACAGAACCCAGATATCCATGGACATAATTGCATCATTAAACCACACACTCCTTTTGACAAAAACCTTAGGATGATTAATAAGCTTATGGGTTTGAGTGTACAAGAGAAACTTCCTCTACAGACCAACTAAAGGAGATGAACTCTCCTTTTATTCTAACATCTTAGCAAACCACAGATACATATATTAAAATTGCATCATGCTGGATGAGAAAAGGCTTTCAGAAATAAAAGATTTGTTACTGACTTCAAAAGATTTTAACAGAGTGATCTTTTAGAACTCTTAGCTTAAATAATGATGTTACTGGATAATATTTGATGTGACTTGTAGAATTTGTTTCTCTACTAGGATTATGTAGACAATTTGCCTAGAAAATTTTAAAAATTACAAAAGAATAAAATATCATTGGCACCATAATTCACATTCACAGGAAACAAATTATTAAAGGTAATATATTGATTGTGGTACCACCCAGTCAAATAATTTTTGCCCGTGACTCACAAATAAGAAATAATTTTACATTTTAACCCCCCTCTTTAACAAATACATATATTACTGAAAGTTGAGGCAATATTTACTTTTAGTATTTGCACTCCACCTATCTATATTTTGATTTTCCTATTTTTAATACATTTATTTAAAATATGTATTTTAATGCTGGACAAAATTCATTGTTTTAATTTCAGGACCAAGTGTAGTTTTCTCTAATCTATATAAATCTAGGTAGAATGACTTCAAATTATGTGGAAGATCTATACTGTATATTCTTACTAGTGATATTATTGAAGTATGCATAATAGAATATTGTAAGAAAGATGCTGACTCAAAGCTTTGCAAATCCTCAGGATCCAAACATACAAAACTTTTTATCATCTCTTCTTCTGCTACTATAAAATAAAGGAAGTTTCCTCCTCCTATCTAATGTAAATCCTCCCTCTTCTCAGAAACTTTATATAATCAGTTAACTTTTCTTTTCACCTGAATATTTCCCATTCACTTTGACATATGCTCAACTCATTTTAATTTCATCAACCAAATATACAAAGCACTTTCTAAATTTACTTTAGAACCAAATTTCCAGAAAACAACTTTATATAATTATTACATCCATATTTTTTTATTTATTCAAAAATTAACCATGATCTCAATTTTGACTTGATCATATCAATAAAAAAAGTTCTCATAAGGGACACAAATTATCTCTATGCTTAACATTCAACTGACATATTTTCAATCCTGAACATATTTGGTATCTCAGCAGCATCTGACAGTATTTACCATGTCTTCTAAAACATCTTTTTTTTAATTTAATTATACATCCCCTCTGACCTTTCATTTTAGTCTCTGTTATAAAAATCATTGCAGGAGTTCCTCAAGTCTCTTCCTTAGGCTTATTTTCTTCTCATTTCATATTTTCTAACTGTTGTTCTCAATACTGAGCACAGCTTCAGTTATCATCTCTTTGAAAATTATTTATATGAAAATGATGTATTCATCTTTATAAAAATCTGTGTCTCCCTTCTAGATACCTTTTTTTAGTTTCAAATCAGTATAGTCAACCACATATTTGAAACCTCTCCCACTTATTTTTACCAGACCACGTTTTTGATATGTCTAGAAAGACTTCTTTGTATTTTTTTAAATGCCAAGAGAGTGACTGTTAAGTTTTTCTCACAACAAAAATAATAACTATGGGAGATCGTGCAGATGTGAATTATCTAGATTTAGTCACTCTTCAATGTATATATACTTCAAAATATCATGTTGAACACAATAATTGCACACAATTTTACCTGTGAGTTAAATTTAAAAACTTAAATAAAGACTTCAAATTTAAGCTGTCCAAAATCAACTGTTAGCAAACTCCTCGATCCTGCTCCCATCAAATGTATTATCTTCCAGTGTTACATGTTTTAGTGAATACCATCAACACATATTCCATCTTATACATTAAAAAATCCATAGTTCCTTTACTCCTTATCCAGACTTACTAACTTTATTATGTCAGCATCCTTTAATTCTATCAGTTTCTATCCACCATGTCACTGAAGTTATAAACCATTGTCTTTTAACTAGATTGTTATAACTGTCTCCTAAAATTTCTCCTTGCATCTAAAAATATGGATTTTCTGACAAAAAAAATGCTAAATTCTGTCCCATTGCTCTGAAAGTCTGAAAGTCCAAAGTTCATGGAAAAGCATGGAAAACCTAGCATGGCCCAATTTATACTCTGTGGCCCTCATTTATACTTGCCCTTACTCCAAGCTCTTGTGCTTTGTTCCTCTTTGCTCTTTAGGCTTAAGCCACATTAAGATTTTTGCTGTTCATAATACACACTTTGTATCAGCCCACTTCCATTATAACTGCCATTTTCTCTATTTATAATGAGTTTTAATGTTAACTTTTCTTACTTAATTTTACTCAAACATATTTTACCTCACTTATCATTAGATCCAACCCCTTATATTTTCATAGCCCTGTGCTTCTTTATTTTAACATTTCTCAGACTTTATATTTTAGTTAATGTCTTTTTATCCCTACTCAGGTATAAGCTCTATGAGGACATGAGCTATGTCTGTTTTTCTGTAACATTGGGTTCCTGGAGTCTAGAAAACATATTAACTACATATTATCATTGAATATGAACCAACTCTATCAAAGACAGTTACTTAAGAAAGGAGATTTCAATTATTATAAGAAAATGTATATAACAGATTGAGAATAGTATATTGACAATAATTAGCAAATATTAAATAATAGAAATAAAGATGTGATCAACAATTAAATGGGAGCCCAACTATCTATAATTTAGATAAAATCTCTCTCAGGAATTTTTGTAGTTATGAAGACTTCAAAAGGTCACAATTACGTAACTTAGCCAAAAGAGCATAATTTAGCTAAAATTACATGATTACATTGTACAACTATAGAATGAAGGACAAAACTAAGATAATTTAAACTCATAATGTTTTGATTTAAAAGTTATAGTAATTAGAATCTTGTCAGGAATTTTGGAAACTAAAAAATTCTCTTTAACAATTTCCATACAATCACATTTTGTATCACATATTTAAAAGGCATCACATCCAATATAATAGTAATCAGGGGTCTCAAACATAAAAAAAATTAGACACAAACTTGATCTCTACAGCACCTACACATAGGCAACATGCATGCACAAATGACAAAATGGCCTATTGCTATATATTGGTATATTTTCCCTGAAAATGAATGAATGAATGGTGAAAAATATGTTTTCTTTTCCCTTTTATGATACACTATACATTTGCAAAGCATATTCAGGTACACTAACATAACATCTCACTCTGCCCGAGATATTTGGTAAGAAAGATGAGAAGAAACTGGGATATTACAGTCATTGCTTAGTTAGCCATTATGTCAAGATGAAAGAGAAATGAGTAATAACTATCTCAATCATAGAATGATAACAATTACTTTAAGATATTGTATTTATCAATTCAAACTGATAACAAATGCCCAATTTACTTCTGTTACATACCTCAAAATATAAATGTGACTCTTGAGGTGTCTATCAACTGATTTAAAATAAGTGAAACTTCAGTGCTCTGAGACCTCAACACCCAGTGAAATCAAATGAAGTCACATTAGTGTCAATTTTCTAATATGCATTTTACTTTTCCCACTGGCATATGTAGGCAATTAAAATCTTCATCGTCTAATGAATAGACATCTCCTCATGTCTATTTCTGAAAGTGCCGAAAGGATGCCTTATGAGATCACACAGCAATCAATTGGTTATTCTCACTTCCCCCCACAGAATGCATCTGCCATGTTCTTCCTGTTCATCTTCGGTGCTAATACAATAATTCCTTACTGTAAAAACTCTGAAATTACCTCATGGTTGACATTGCCATCTGCTGCTCACCTGGAAGTTACTGAGCAATGTTGGTGTCAAAGTCAAAATAGAACAAAATAACATCCCCTAACTTCATGCCATTCTTTGTCATTTGGCATGTACAGCAAAACTTGTCCCAAGAAAACACCCTGTCCTAAACTATAGTTATTTATTATATGTTTTTGCTTCAAACTGAGGCTCCAGCCTTGTCTAAGGTTCTGGATGGAAACAGGTGCTACCCTACCCACTCTGCACTCTGTTTCACTCACTTTCCTCCTTATTGTCCACAAATACACTCACTTACATAATAACATCAAAATACTTTGGCTAAAACAAAAGGCTCTATAGATAACCAATGGCTCAAATAGATGCTTGGGCACAGGGTATCATTTAATGCAACTAATGACTTGAGAACAAAATAAGGAAATTCTCTGACTATATTTTTTAGTACATTATTTTAGACTAGTGTCAAACAATAGCTAACTAAATTGAAGTTATAAGTGAATGTGTTGTTTTTTCTTTTCAGATTTTGTTCATTCTAAGCCACTAATGAGTTGACAGTGAGCCATTAGGATATACTGAATATGGTTTTGTTAATACATTCTTTCAGACCAGTGGCATACAATAGGTAACTTGAAGTGGAGTAAAACATACTTTATGCCTTGTTTTGTTTTTAAGAACTGAAATAATAGAAACAGAAGAGTTGGCTTCCTCTATTACATTTTATAGACAAGGAAAATACAACTCAATATTGAAAAAGCATTTAATTGTGAAATGTGTCAGAGATCTAAACAGGTATCTGATTATTGGTTTCTTATAAATGTGACTATTTTATAGTTTTCAGAATTGCATTCATTATTTTTACTTTGAATTTATAGGAATGGATGTGAAATTAAATAATGTTAGCACAAATTAATGTATTTTGGTATGCTTAGGCCAAGAGTATGCATTAATGTATATAAATAACTTGATCTATATTCTAGAGTTTCAGAGGTCATCAGTGTCTAACATATGTATGCATATTGTGACCACCTGGAAAGCATTTGTAAAAATAAATAATAACATTTATGTAATTTCTCATTAATCTCCTTTGTTTCCAAGTGTAAAGATCACCAGTATAAAATGTGTATCATAACTTTTCTTCAGGATCATGGAAGTATTAGCACTCAGATGAGAAACAAACCTAAGAAACTGTCAACATTGCGTAGTGGCCAAGCATAGGCTTTCGAGTCACACTGCCGAGCTCCAAGGCCTGTCCCCTACACTTCCTAGCTCTACGACCTTAAGAAAACTACTTCACTTTTCATTGTACTGTGTGCAAAATGAAGACGTTTGTTTTGAAGAGAGATTGAATGAATGCATTATAATAAATAGTGTCTGGTACTTAGTGAGTGTTCACAAAACAGTTACTTTTTTCCTATTATCTAAGGCTTTCATCACATATATGAGGAAAAAGAGGCCAGCACAAATTATATTGGGATATTATGGTTGATTAGTGATACTATTCCTGAAGGAAAGTGGTTTCATTTATACATTCTTCTTGATTTCCTGTGCCCCTCCTTTCTTTCCTTAAATATTCTTTAGTAGTGTAAAGTATGATAGCATAGGTCTCTCTGCTCATGTGCTTTAATGTTACATTGCTACATTATCATTTTGCACTTCCTGCTATCTTACTCTTAATGGTAATGTAAAAGAGAAAATGTGTCACCTAGGTCCCATGTCCCCTGTCCCCTGCCTTAAAGATTCAGTTCATGACCTGTCATTCCAAAACTAAAATACTAAAGTATGACTGATATATAACAGTATATATATATGTGTGTGTGTGTGTGTGTGTATATATGTGTGTGTGGGGGTATATGTGTGTGTGTGTGTGTGTGTGTGTGTGTATTGCACTGCAAAGTTTAGAACAGTCAGTCTCCCTGTGTGGAAAATAAAATATGTAGGTGTTGTGCCCAACTTCTCTGTTTAGTCCTATTTACTTACTTTGTTTTTTCATATGCAACATAATACAGCATAATATAAAGAAGTAACTTTAAATACTGGTATTACATCACATCAGAGTTAAAAATTACATCTGTAATATAAATATAAATGATCACTTACAATTTTTGACAGAATAGCTGATAACAGTGAATTTTATGAATTCCCTTTCAAGATTTTCTTTACATATCAGTATAGTAATTTTGCTTTTAATTCCTCTTTGAGGAATCACTCTATTTCCTCATTAACTAAATCATTTAAAAAGTTGAAATGATTGTGTAACCTGAATTTTCTATTTGAAATATCAAAATATTTTACCACTTACTAAAAAAACACATTTTTAAAAATAATTGTCACTTTTAGGTAGATATTATGCATTTTCAAATGCATTATCTTTTGCTGGTGGTTACATTCCCATTGTATTTTAATATTTTATTTCTTTAGAAAATATTCTTCTCTTGTGAGTTTTGTTTATAAGATTCTGAAACCCCCAAAACATTTTTAGCTCTCTTTTAAAACTGGTATTTGTTTTAGTTTATTACTCATTGTTTAGTGGCAGTGACAAAGCAGGAAAAAATGTTTCTCCAGATGATTATAATTAATGTGAGAGATTTGGGTCAGATGTTTGGATCAAGATGTTGGATTTAACTTTCAGCCGTTTTTCCTGACAATTGGGATGGTCATCCTGGTCCTTTGAAAGGACAATGGTGGAGGCACTCATATTTTGATATCATTAATGTTCAAATTATAAAATTAGCTGACCTCATGGTGATTTGAAGTTTGCTAAGGGACATTTTGATGTTAAGCTGACTTTCCACACTGACTAGAAATTTGTGAATTCACAAAACTACACATAACTTTTTGTAAGCATAACATCTGTCATCACCCTGAGAGAGGAATTCTCAGGGTGATTCTCAGATCAGAATTTTGTACCACCCTGATAAAATCATAGCTCAAGGTAAATTCTATCTTACGAGGCAGTAGCTAAGCTGGCCACGTCTTATAGGAATAGCCCTTAAATAATCTATGATGGTATACTCTTCATTTAAAGCATCTATTAACAACATCATTTCCATGCCCAGTGTAGTGAAAACTACTGATTTGCCACATTGCATATTACCATTCTGCATTATGTAGAATGTCCATTAAAACAAGAATATTTTCTTTTGCAGTATGAAACTTTTACTATGTACTTGAGATTTCTCATAATTTATCTGACTTAATTATTATGAAAATACTTTAAGGTCTGTCTGTATATATGAAAAAACTGGAGCTCAGTAAGGTTAAATATGTCACTGTCACATCATGAGTGTTCAGAAGTCACTTTTGAGTCCAAGGACCAAGCTATATCCAAAATCCCTAGGAAATATTTTGAGTAAAGGAGGTCCCGGGGGGTAATAAGTTCATTAGCTCCCCAGGGAACAACTATGGAATGCAACATTCAGGGACACTTAAAGTATTTGAGAGCATCCTGTTGAAGTTCTTGCTTTTGACTCCTACGTATGAACATATGAAGAAAATGAAAATCATATATATAGGTCTTTCAGTTCTTGTCACCACTTCCAATTATAATGAAATTTTTCCTTTCATTCTTCACTATGTTTATTTTACTGAAAGATTATTTTGGCTAACAGATTCTGAAGCAATTTTATTCCAGCTAAAAGAGTTGAACAAATTTCAAACATATGCATCCCACCATAGAAATTATTTAGCTATACTGAGGTCCAAGTGAAAAGAGAATAAAGTTTCCAAGCATCTCTCATTATCGAGTCTTGATTGAAAGTTACAGCCAGAAGATGAGGGGTAGCTCATTCTTAGTGAATATGTGTATACATATATGTAGGTGTGATTTGATGGTGGTGATGAATGGTTTGTTTTGATCTGGTGGTATAGAATAAAAGGCAATAGGTAGGATAAGAGAATCATATCAAAAATAAAATGACATTCAAATCCATATTCTGAGACTATTTGGCTTAAAATATATAATTTCTTGTTTGAGTCTCTTTTTTTAATGTAAAATGCAGACATTGAGATAATCTTGCAGATTCATATCATAGCAGTAAATACAAATTAGAAATAGTTTTTAAGTGAAGGATTCCTAATGCTTATATCAGCCATCTTTGTCACATTATGACTTAATATTTTCCAGCAATAATATTAACAAAACAATGTATTATATGCCAGAGACATAATAGATAAGATTTATTATGTTTTAAATATAAATTCCATAAAACAAAATATAAGAAAGGAGAAGACACATAAAATCAGGAAGCAACAATAAATATGTTCTGGAAACAAATAAAGCACTCAAATAAATACTGAGGAAACACATGGAAGAAAACTTTTCATGAGAAGAGCAAAGACCAATCATTCCGTGTAACAAGGGTAAAAGAACAAATTTAAAAATGAAAACTTCTGCATGAAATTCCTATTAAGGTGATTGTATCAGTATCAGGTGTCATTAATATATAGTAATATATAATGTAGTAGTAACAAAGAGTTAAATTTCTACTCTTTGGGATTAAATAATAACATTTAATCTGATTCAAAGTTAACCAGATCACTGTTCTATACAGCAACAATGGACTAAATATTCCTCTGGGTTTCATTAAGGCATGAGCTGATTTGAGTAAAAAGAATTAAAATAGAACTCATCTGCGGAAAACAACCAGAAGGCTAAAAATGGAGAACAGTGAATGATATAGTAATAAGAGGAAATAATAAGAAAGTCAGTGAGCTTCAGAGTCAAAGGATGTTTTCTGCTGCTGGATTTAAGTCACATCTCTAAAAGCCATTGTGTCCTTGCTGCAAAAAATACATATAATTTAAGATAAGTTAAAACAATAACAGATTTTTTCCTTAGATGGGTATCAACCTTTTTTTTTTTGCTACGGAAAAAAATTATTTTTAGCGTTGAATGTTACAGCTTTCTGGAAGCAGCAGATTATGAAGAATCATAATCTTATACCATATCACATTAAAAATCTTTTCAGTTAGTACAGCATTGAGACCAAAATTTGTGTCCAACAAATAGAACTTGAAATCCCTACTTTTTTGGGGTTGGCTAATTGTTGCATGATGTTTGCTAAAACTCTGACTTCTCCCTCGACCCTCTCTTGGCTCTAATTATCCACATAAAATCACCAAATGCATGGCCCCGAGCCACTCACCTCAGAAAGCTAGATCATGTCTGGGATTGTGGAATCACAGGCAGCACTAACATCCACAATTTGATTTCCTGATTTTACCAGTATTCTCTTCTTGAATGTTCTTTCACATCCTCTATTCATTAATTAATTAGGTAAATAATAATATTTACTCAGTAATATTTATACACTATAATAGGTGCTGGGCATAAAAGATGGATCAGATATACGCCCTGCCTCAATTGCTTAGAACACTATACACATACAGAAAAATGAAGTCATGTAAGAGGGTGGCAAGAGGTGCTGTTTTTAATAAGGTGTTCAGTACAGCCCCTATGAGGAGGTGACTAAAATATGGATGTGAGTAATATGCAAATCTGGGAGAAAAGTTCTCCAGGATAAAGGAGAAACCGGTGCAAATGCACCGGTACTTTAAATGTAGCACATCTCAGAGAAATCTCTGATTCTTTCTCCCTGAACTCATCCATTCCCCCAACCACACACAGACCAAATGTGCTATTTTTTTATTTCCCCATTTTGGTAAATGTCAGCCTTCTGTAATATGGCAGCATTGAGAGACCTGACTTCACTTGGTGATTTTGCAGATCAAATAAATTTATATGTAATACTTAGCATGTGATATATAGGCAGTGAAGGTATGTTAAACAATAGTCACTTTCACTATTATTTGTTTTGCAGACTTTTCATTTGGTATTATGTTTTGTCTTGCTGAAATTTCAAAATAGTTGGAGTCTTGTTTGTGTCTTCTCTGTTTTGATACATTATTTCTGTCTTTGCTATTACGTTTTAAGTTTACTTGGTGTTTTTAAAGATTGTGATCTTTATGGTTGTAATGTACACATATAATTGTGTGAGCACAAACACGCATTTATTTTAGATTTCTTTTTTCTCCAACTTTAAGTCAATTTTGGTAAATTATATTAATATTTGGAGCATTGAAAAATCTTGCAATCTTTATTTGTAGAAAAAGTTTTAAAATATCAATTCAACTTTCATTCTTCTATGGTTTCTGTTAATAACAAGTTTTAATATTTTTCTTTTTATTTTGAGACAGAGTCTTACTCTGTCACCCACACTGGAGTGCAGTGGTACAGTCTGGGCTCACTGCAACCTCTGCCTCCTGGGTTAAAGCGATTCCCCTGCCTCAGCCGCAAGTTGTAATATTTTTCTATCAGATACAGAGTACCATGTGTTAAATTTCCCTTTTTCATCTATATTTGCCAATGTCTTCTCATATTTTTAAAATGTTTTGATTTATGCCACATTCCTACATGTACAAGGGCTTGTGAAGTTAACTTTTTTTATTGTAAGATTAGCTTACTCATCCCACTGAGTAGTATTTCTTTTAATTATGTATTTGATATTAATGTTATTATAATATTAGTTGCTATTACTTTCTTGGTATCTTCTTTCTCTCCTAAAGGTAAATGTTATATTTAATTTATATTTACTAGAAAAATTTAAAGCTGTAATGCTTATTACCATTTCAGACCGGTATTTCCATCCAAGTGTTGCAGATTTACTTCCCTTTTTCATGCTTTGTAGATTTTTACTTTGCTTGCATCTGCTTGTTATAAGGAACTCTCTGTTTGCTTTTATGGCTATGGGGCAAGGGTTCTCAACCAGAGGTGATTTTTTGCTTCCCAGGAGATATTTGGGAATGCCTGAAGACACTATTGGTTAATGTGACTTCTGTGCAGAGAATGGTGGAGGGAGAGTGTTACTGACATCTACTGGGTAAAGACTAGGGATGCTGCCAAACATCCTAGAATGAACAGATGGCATCTCACCACAAATAATTTTCCAGCCCAAATGTCAGTAGTGCTAAGGTTGAAAACTCTTACATTTATGAGTTTGTGAAAGTTTTTGTCTTTTTAATATTCCATGAATATTTTAATAGGTGTCAGGTTATATGCAGGTCCAATACTATCTCTTTTCAAAATATCTTACATCCTTTTTTTTTTTCTAAGTTAGTTCATGTCTTTTTTATGAGAAGTCCTTCAGGATCACTTCTGTATATAGACAAGCCCCAGTTCACGGCTATTCTGACTTTTAGATTTCTTATTCTTTATATGCCACCAAGATGAACTGAATTCCATTTATGTCACTGGAAGGAGGTAAGAAGTCAATGACTTATTCCCCTGCATATGGCTATCTTTTATATTGCTGGTTTAACAATACACTCTATAAAAGTATTTTTAATCTGAGTTCAATTTGTCATTGTGGCTAACCTTCAAATCATGACACTGCATTTCTTTTGCATAATTCCAGGTATATCATTCATGTAATATTCTGTGTTGTACAAACATATAAAGTATGTATGTAAGTTACATCATGTGTAAGAAGTGTGGAGAAAAGGCAAGCATGAGGAAGGATGAGGGTGGAGAGGAGTAGGAACAAATTTTCAGCAGAGTTGCTCAGGGAAGTCCTCACTGAGAAGCTCACATGAGCAAAACTTGGAAGGATACTGAGGAAAGGGAGCTTTAATGGAAATATAGCACAAATATAAACCCATAGAGTAAAAATCTGCTTACAATCTTGTCAGGCTCAAAAGTGCCATTACTCATTTGTATGTGTTAAGTGACCACCAAATGTTATACCTAATTTCAATAAATGGCAAATCTGGACAAAGAGAGGGAGAGTGCCTTGGCTAAAGTTTCAGAGGATTAATTTGGGAGCTGTAACCGGACCCGGGGTCCTTGACTGTTTTGTAATCCCACACATTTTCAAGTATGCACAGCACTTTATTTCCAACTGTCATTAGAAATCATAGCAAAAAAATCAAATAGAACAATGAATCAATAGCAATAGCAAAATGTGTACTTAGGAAACATATAAAATAAGTACTTTGAAGTATATGGTGACTATAAACTCATCATTTGTATATACAAAACAACTATTTTCTCAATATTGTCTACAGTAACATAAATCTCACCACCACACTCTCATCCTCTATGCTTACTAATTTACTTATTTTTCTCTAATTTACCAAATTATGTTGATTTTGCCTCTTAAATGAGTCCTGCCTGCTTCCATGGTCATTATTAATAGTTTCCCAAAGTACTTGTCTGTAGTTCTATGGACAACACTCTGAGGGTTGATTGGGTGGACTGTAGCTGAGGACGTTACTGGAAGAAATAGCAACCTAAATGTATTCCAGAGATACTGTAACCTCTTGACACTGCTATTCTGTTTTTTTCTTAAGGTTCAGCTCAGAAGTAATGTATGCTAAAATATTAACTATTCATTCTCCCAAATCTTTCATTTAAAAAGTCAACTATAGGCCTCTCCCAACCAAACTGAAAAATTAGCTAATTCTAGTTTAATCTAACTTCTGCTCAGGTATTAGAACAATCTTCATTTTATCAGGCCAGTCTTTGCAAAGCATTTATAATGACTCTTCATTTTTATCATATTATATAAATATAGGTTGTGCTCAAAATTTTTTATCCACCTGTTTGTCTACCCTCACAGCTTCACCTCACAACTAATTTCACTACTTCCTTCTTTTCACATGGACACTGCATGCTTACCAAGGTCATTCACTGTTTCCTGGAATGTGACAGTGCTATTTACTGTTGAAGAAAATTAAAATTCTTAACCTTTACAGATTATATTTGCTGATGAGGCCTTTCTTGTATCTCTGTGCCTCACAATAATACTGTTATCTTGATTCATTTTCTCTGTGACTTCCTCTATGTGGATATCATGCTTGTTCTTTACACATTTTCATTTCACATACCTATTCTTTTCTATCTACAGATACTGTTTCTATGACTTAATATCTGTTATCACAAATTCCAATCCTAAATCATGGGATATAATAAAGTCCAGGGTACTGTTCTTTTTAGGAAAATATGTGGTGTTAATTATTTGAGAGGTGAAATGTGTAATACTCAAAAGAGTAATTTCTTACTACAGAATTCCTTAATAAAGATGTTTTTGGATTGATTGTTTTTTCCCCACACACTATTTGGGGGACATTTCAAGAGCAGTTCTTCAGAGGTTGGCTGGTCAGTATAACAGTGCTATAATCCAGAAGTTCAAATGTCCCCTATGAGGAAATAAACTGATGTTTATGAAAGTAACTCTAATAGCTGTAGGAATAAAATGTCTATGTACCCTTTTAAAATAAGTTCCAATAGATAGCAGCCCATTTAAATACTTACTAAATAAAAGCAGAAGCATCCAAAATTTTGACCTTTTAAATCTAATAGATTTTGCCAGGGAAGTAACTATATTAGATAATAGAGACAATTCTTTGGCAGGAAATTGATATCTGATTGAAATTCAAGTTATCAGAATTATTCAACAAATATCTAGTATTTCCCCAAGGACTATTCTTAAATGATTTGTGAAACTGTGAATATAAGTTCTTCAGATTCGATGTCAGTTATTTCTTGTAGGGTAGTGAGTGTTTGTAGAACTTCACACACAGATCTTTTTAGTGTGCCATACAGTTTCAGAAAAACAGTACTAAACTTAGAAACTTAGTATTTCTTGCGCTTTCATTTTGAAGACTAGAGAACCCTATTTTTAGAAAACCCTATGTAGTTTATCTTTAAATATACAAATGAGCAGAAAACTCTAGGGTCACATAAATATACAAGTTATTATCTTATGATTCTTTTTAAAGTTATACATGAGATTTCGCTGAAATTTGAATTTTATGAAAACTATATTGATAGTCTCATTTTTAAAGTTATTTAAAGCCTATGGCTTAATATTTTGTGTGTCAATGGTCATTTGCCATAGTTTTCCCTGTCCTACATCTAAATACCCCTTCTAAGATTGCTAGACTAGCAAAAGTAATAAATAATTAATTAATTGACAAATAGACTGACTAATTAATTAGTATAAGTACATCCTATCCAGACTTGCTAAATTTGTAAACTCTAGGAGGTAATTTGGCTTGTGACCAAGAGCTTTGACTGATATACCACTTCTTATCCAGGTCCAGAGCATCCTCAAAGACCTGTCAAAGGGCCCTTATCTACGTGCTACTTCACTCATCCCCCAAAATATTTATAGCTTTAATCTAAACGATCTTAAGCAACTGGCTTTAATAAGTCACTATAGTACTTGTAATAGTCTAACTGGTCTTATGGCCTTCTTTATAGTTGTTTGTCTGACAAGCAAATTTTGGATAACTTGGACACGATTAATTTTTGTGTCCTTTGATAGCACATCACCCAGTTCTCATTGTAGGCTTTCTGAACTGAACTGAAATAGGAAATTTGATTACTCTTTATAGATTTTTAGCAGTAGTTCTGTTAATTTCTGCATACATAGTCATATTTTTTGCCAGATTCCTTTTTAGTACCTGGGCATATACTAATGAGAAAACTTGTCTGAGTAGATACAATTATGAGAGAAAGGAAGGAAGAAACACAAGGAAGAAGGTCCAGAAATCATTTTCATAGTGACATGGAACGCACAACGTTGATCATGTTAACATCAGACACTACCCAACTAAGCTAATAAGCCACGGAAAATTGCAGATGTTTAAAAGTCAGTAATGAAATAAAACCCAGACTGTTGACCTACACATGTGAGTATGCCTAAATATAGGCCCTTAAAACTATGCCTCTGGATGAAAGGGAAAAAAATTAATAAAGATTGAAAGCTCTGTCTACATAGCTTTAGATGCTAGTGTTTAAAAAAAGCAAAAATAAACAAGGCTAATAATATTTCAAGGTAGAGCCTGAGACGGCAATGTGTTCAACGTGCAAGATTTCAGATTACATGCTTTCAGTGTATACAACTTCAGACATTACTTCAAAGCAGGCAAAATGTACCCCTTTAAACTATGCATACAGTGTTCAAGGCTCCAGTTGCTGCTGCGCAATATATGGTTTGTTATATCAGTGGTTACAGCTTGAGACAGCCATATATAAATGGTTTGGTGCACAATTTAGGACTCCAGTGTATATGATCTATATAACTTCAGGTGCCAGAATTTATAGAGTACTCAGAATTCACATTTCCTCATATCCAGAATATATACCTGAATTCACTAGTGGATACAGCTTCACATACTTAAGTAATTCAGATCAAAACTTTCCATTTGAAAAAACTGAGGCAAGAGAGGAATTTCATAAATAATATTCATATAGTGTATGTAAGTTTGGGTTTCCCAGAGAAACAAAACCAATAGGATACATATATACAAAGATATTTACTATAAGGGGTTGGATTATGTGGTTATGGAGGCTCAGAACTCCCATGTTCTGCAGTTGGAAAGCTGGAGACCCAAGAGAGCCAATGGTATAGTTTTAGTTTGAGTCCAAAGGCTTGAGACTCATGAAATTTAGTGGTGTATGGTCCAGTATGAATCTGGGCCTGAGTTCAAAGGAAGTACATAGTTCTATTATCAGTCTTCTTTAAAAGATTTTCTTTAATACTGGACATTCAAAATAAATTATACTATATGCAGGCTAAATGCACAGTACACTTTAAATATGATTTAATACAGTTTAAAATGTTCTTCCACAATTCATACACTTCCAACAATTAACAAAATGAAATAATTACAATCTGTTAGGCCATGAGAACATTGAGTCCTGTGACACTTAAACTGACTGCCCTAACTTAAAGTTTTAATTTGTCTTTTTAAATTTGTTAGCTGCTGGCCCATTTATAAAATAAATCCTGGTAATGTTCAATGATGCCAACTTTCTTCTACAAGTGGCAAGATAAAACGGATGTAGAGTCATGAAGAAATAGATGTCATTGCTGTCATGTTGCTATTCTTATGGAAGACTGGTAGACCATGAGTATCAATGTATCAGAAAGAGAAGAGGTGGGGAGAGACGTTCATGCAGCCTTGACCTGAAAGGACAATGTTGATCTTAATATACATTGAAAAACTGTTATACAGTTAAATAAGAAAATAAATACATGTTACACAAATATATACAGTATATTTAGTGTATATTTATATGAATACAGTATACACATAAATACTATATAATAAATGTGTGTGTACGCATGTGTGTTTATGTGTGGGTGTTAGGTACTGAGAACAATATAGAGATCAATAAAATCTTTTAAAATTTAGCTGGTATTTATTGCCTACCTAGTAAGTTTCAGATAAACTCACTGTTGTTTAACGTTTTGCTCAACAATAAGCAGTATGTTCCATGCTGTATTCGTTTCTTAGGGCTATCTTAACAAAGTACCACAGATTGGGTGGCTAAAAATAACAGAAATTTATTGTCTCATAGTTCTGAAGTCTAAAAGTAGAAAATCCAGGTGGTAGTGGGTCTTCTTACTCTTGGGAACACCCTACGCTCTCTATAGAGTAGCTGTAATTTCACTACTTTACTTTTTTTAATAAACTTACGTTTACTTTGCACTGCAGACTCGCCCTGAATTCTTTCTTGTGTGAAATCCAATAACTCTCTCTCTGGGTCTGGATCGGGACCAATTTCCTGTCACATTACAAAGGCCATACTCCCTCTGAAATCCTTACTTGTCTCATCCTATCTTCTGGTAGTTTGCAGGCAATCTCTGCTGATCTTTGGCTCGCAACTGCATAACTCCAATTTATGCCTCCGTTGTCACATGGTGTTCTCCTTGCGTGTCTCTCTTTCCTCACATGTCTGTCACCTTATAATGAAACCAATCATATTTGACTAGAGGCCCACTCTACTCCAGTATGATATCTTCTTAACCAATTACATCTTCAATGACTCCACTTCCAAATAAAGTCACATTTTGAGCTATTGGGAGTTAGAATTTTAATATATATTTTTGTGGGAGACACAATTCAATCCATAACATATGTGTTATCTAATTTCATCCTATTTAATCTTATAATTTAATTTTTATTATCACTATTTTACAGATATGAAGAAGTTCTAAGTCAAAGAAGTTTAATGAACTTCCAAATAATAACTGGAGAAATTGACATTTGAACCTCATCTTTCTAATCACAAAGCCAGTAAGGGAATTCTTATGAAAAACAGCTAACTAAAATACAAGACAGTTAAATCAGTGCCACTAGATACAATGGAAGGAAAAGAGGTAATTAATTACTTCTGACTGGAGAGATAATGAAAGGCTTAATATAGGTTATTAGAGTTGAGTTCAATCTTAGTAGGTGGGTTGGAATTTATTAGGGGAAGGAGAAATGTGTAAAGTTGGGAGGGCTTTGAAAATCACATGAAAATATCATGGTATTTAAACCAATTGTCCTTTTCCACTCAAGTAACAAGTCTTAGAAAACCTCGCTCAATCTCACTTAAAAAGGGAATGTATTGGTTCAAGTAATTGAAAGTCTAGAAATAGAGCAAGATTCACAGTTAGCTTACTTCAGTGGCTTCAGGTCTGTGAATTCACTCCAATTTCCCTCAGCTCTATCAGCTTCAGACAGGCTTTCTTCTCAGGCTTTTTCTCTTACATGACAAAATAGGTATACTCTATGTACACCAAGATTTGCCAAGAAAGAGATTCTATTCTCTCCTGGCCTTATAAGAAAGAGTCCTGAGATTCTCATTTATTTCACATGCATCTATTCTTGACCCAATAACTGTATGTCATAAATGTGAATATAATTGTAAAGAAGTTAGAACAGTACATGGAACACATTTAATATTAGGTAGGTATTAGTTGCTATTACTAGGTTCTCATCTTGATGACACAGAGAACATTGTGTATACCTCTATCATTATACCTAACATATTATATATTTTATTATTTCAGTGAGTGTTTCCTTTTCTATTCAGAATTTCTTAATAATGGCCTATCACAGCTTACTCCTCTTGTATCCCCAATAGCTATCATGTTGTAAAACATATGTCCAGTTGTTTTTTAAATGAAAGAATGCTTAGTGAATGTGAAAATGTATTAGAAGGATATATACAATGAGACTAGGTCATTTGCATAAGAATTGAGTAATAGACTAAATTCACTGTTATATACACCTTTTTTATTACATGAAAATTACTTTTTTAGTATTGAATTAAAAGAATGAGAAAAAATATACAGTTATATTGCTTTTGGTAACTCATTAAAACTACATAGAACTCCAGGAACTCTTGGTAGTAGCATGAAATTTAATTTCTCTCTTCTTAGAACTTCAACAGATTAACTAGAAAGTACTGAATATTTTCTACTTGATTCAACGAATGTTTACTAATCATTGATTATGGAAGGAACCAATTATACTACCTGATACTGGGGGGAAACAGTTGAATCAGTCATTGTCCTAAAGATATATATTGTTAAGAAGTGTCACAGTTAAATCAACATGCCATGCCCATAATTTCAAAAGATTTTATTAAGGTTCCAGAGAAACATAAGGTTTCTGGAAACTATACATTTTAGATGTATTGTTAGAAATATAAATATTCTAGGTGACATGTATATTATAGTCAAGCTAATGTCATGCTTCATCAAATTGATTATATTTTATCTGTTGCTATCTTACAGTAATACAACTATCTGCTATCTAACTTCTTTCTAAGAAAAGTCTGATATAATTTCTTTTTTTTTCTTTTTTTTATTATACTTTAAGTTTTAGGGTACATGTGCACATTGTGCAGGTTAGTTACATATGTATACATGTGACATGCTGGTTCCCTGCACCCACTAACTGGTCATCTAGCATTAGGTATATCTCCCAATGCTATCCCTCCCCCCTCCCCACACCCCACAACAGTCCCCAGAGTGTGATATTCCCCTTCCTATGTCCATGTGATCTCATTGTTCAATTCCCACCTATGAGTGAGAATATGCGGTGTTTGGTTTTTTGTTCTTGCGATAGTTTATTGAGAATGATGATTTCCAATTTCATCCATGTCCCTACAAAGGACATGAACTCATCATTTTTTATGGCTGCATAGTATTCCATGGTGTATATGTGCCACATTTTCTTAATCCAGTCTATCATTGTTGGACATTTGGGCAAATAAATTTTTCTGTTAATCTCTGTTATTTACTGAAAACTTTCCACCTGCTTCTTTTTTTGAATTTCAAATTTTGGTTTATTCTTTCTTGGAAGATGATTTTTAAATACAAGCATTATGGTTATATATGTTAAAATATATGATGCCTTATGTTTATTTTGAAATACACACACATATACGATGCTTAGAAAAATAAACTTCTGGAGCCCATAATTACAGAAACAATAAGATGTTATCTCTCATCTGCCTCTTCTTCCTGAATCTATCGTGCTGCTTGTAAATGTGGAGAAGTTTATATTTTTAGCAGATGTGTTTAACCTTTTATAATTCAGATTCCTTTTCACAAATACCTTAATATTCCATTAATCTAATGAAGTATTATGATTTTATAGAGAAGGAAAGAGGCTCAGAGAAGGTAAGTGATTTAGTCACATAACCAGTAAGTAAACTATGTCACAAACCCATGACTTCTGAATACAAAGCCCAGTCTTTTTACTATGCAGTGCTGAAACTGAGGGCAAAATGGTCTATGCACAATGAACCCAATTAGAAAGCACCAATAGTTTAAGTTTTGACCAGAGAAATCCAATTAAACAAACTAGAGAAATCCAATTAAACAAACTAGCTAGTCCAAGCTTTGAGTTAAATATTTTTTTCTGATTGCATTTAGTCTTCATCTTAACCTTTGGTCACTGGTGTCCTGAAATTTCTTGACTTCTCTGCTGTCAAGAGTTAAATTTTCCTTTTCTTCTGTTAATAGTTTCCAGCTGGTCCATCGTAGTTCAGTACAGGCTGTTTTGAGTCACACAACTTGCTCTATCAGTTGGTTTGAAGTTATAGCTTATGTACAAATAAATTTTAGCTTTCATTTTTGATTTTCAGCCTGGAGCAGTGGCACACTAATCTACTGCTGCATTATCAACAAACTTCCATGTTAACCATTGCCAAGGCTCATTGCAGGGTCAGAGTCTGAGATCTCATTGAAGCTCTTCTATCAGCAAATCAGTACATTGATTCTTTACTTCTTTTCTAACTCAGGTCTGCTGTTAGTATTTATTGCAGTAATTCTCTTTAAAATATCATGCTAATTGTCCTAAGTTCTTCTTACATTCAGATCTTTTCCAGTAATTAGAGATCACATAATTCAAACATCTACTTAGCTACACTGGGTTCAGGCTGAGAGCCTGTTTCTCAGCCCAATCTCCTGGGGTAATCATCCACACACACCTGGCTCGGCTGCATTGACCAAGAGTAACAGTGCGTCTGCACCTGTCTAAGCAAATTTCTGGGATCTTGCCAATACTTTGTAAAACACACATGCTCATTCACACAATCTTAGGGACTGAGTCTATTGGTCTCTGTATCCTCTACAACTATTATGTGTCAGGCACATGGCAGGTGCTCAGTAAAGAATTCTTAATGAGTGAATTATCAGCCTTCTGCTGGAATTCACTTCTATCAGATACAAACCACCCAATTTTAGTTTAGTATTTTTTTAACAGGCTATAAAATAGGCCTTAGCCATACCATCTGGATTAGGTATCTTTAAAAGGATCATTCGTTTAAACATATGTACTGGAATTCTTTCTAGTTCAGGAATCATTCAATGTTACAGAGAAAGAAAACTGTGGCTGGAGTATTGCTATACATACTCCTGCCTATGCACTGTGTTCTCTTTACCTGAGAGCTAGAAACAGGGATTAAAAGTACTTTAGTGCAATAACATGCATACAGTTGACACTATTGTATTGCACACTTAAAAATAGTTAAGATGATTAATTCTATGTTTTTACCACAGTAATAAAAAGTATTAAAAATTGTGCTTGCTTCGGCAGCACATATACTAAAAAAGGTTTACTGGCCATGCTGTTGGGAAAAAAAATCAGAGAAGCCCTCACAATTTCTTTGGAAACTCATTGCTAGAATACAATAAAACCAGCAGCTAGCTACTCAAATCTATACAACAGTCATCTCTCACAGAAATAACCTCTGGTTATGTTCAAGCTTTTTCACAGAATTTGCAAAGCCCTTCATGATCTGGCCTCTATTTTCTTATGGCCAACCATGAAAAAGTCAGTGTTCCTTGAATAGACAATTTCTTCATATCTTAGGGCTTTGCAAATGGTACTCTCTTGCCTCAAACACCTTTCTCACCATTTTTCTTCTGGCTACGTCTTATTTATCGCGATCTCAGCACACCACAACCTCCACCTCCCGGGTTCAAGCGATTCTCCTGCCTCAGCCTTCAGAGTAGCTGGGATTACAGGCATGCAGCACCACGCCCGGATAATTTTTTGTATTTTTAGTACAGACGGGGTTTCTCCATGTTGGTCAGGCTGGCCTTGAATTCCTGACCTCAGGTGATCTGCCCGCCTTGGCCTCCCAAAGTGCTGGGATTACAGGGCATGAGCCACCGTGCCCTGCCCCTACATATCATTTCTTTAGGGAGGTTTTTTTTTAATTCCCTAATGTGGTTTGGACCTCTTTTTTTTTTTTTTTTTTTTTTTGAGACGGAGTCTCTCTCTGTTGCCCAGGCTGGAGTGCAGTGGAGCAATCTCGGCCCACTGCAAGCTCCGCCTCCCAGGTTCACATCATTCTCCTGCCTCAGCCTCCCGAGTAGCTGGGACTACAGTCGCCCACCACCACGTCTGGCTAATTATTATTATTATTATTATTATTATTATTATTATTATTATTATTATATTTTTAGTAGAGACGGGGTTTCACCGTGTTAGCCAGAATGGTCTCGATCTCGTGACCTCCTGATCCACCCGCCTCGGTCTCCCAAAGTGCTGGGTTTACAGGCGTCTGCCACGGCGCCCGGCCCCAACCATCCACACTCTTATAGAAGTCTGGCTTTTTCCTTTGTAGCATGTAATACAATTGTATGTAATTATGTAATATTTAGTCCCTCCCACAAGACAGAAACTTACATGAGGTAGGGAGTATTTCTCTTGCTAATCACTTGTATTACCAGGGCCCCAGTATCTTGTATAGAGCAGGTATTCAATATTTCCTTTCTAGGTAAGGGAAGTATGTTAAAAGATATTTATCCTGCAAATTCATCTTAATAGATTTCTCAAAGGAGTAGGTGAAGAGGCACAGAAAATTTGTGAGCTTGGTGGTGGAGACAGTGGCTGCAGGGCCCTAGATTAAAGAAGTTTAGGGCTGGGTGAGTAAGTAAGCAAGAAGCGAGAAATGAGGACACTATAGGACGCTCAGTTAATGAGGTTTCCACTCCATTGCTCCAACATCCCACCCCACCCCAAACCATTAAATATTAGCTTATGTATTCACTTCATTAGAGAATTAGGTAAACCTCACATTACACGGCCAAGGCCAAAAGAGTTTTGCACGGTTAGAATGTGTTCAACAAACCAGTCACAATTTAACTGGAATAGATTTCAACTAGGAGATGATTGTGTTTCTCCAAATAACCTTCATTTCAGAAGATGACATTCCTCCAATATGTGGAAAGGCAATAAATGCACTTTCTTCTCTCTGCCACGGAGGAAGAAATTCTCCCTCTTGAGGGAGCGACCCTATTTCCTTTTTGCTGCTCTTTTCCCTTCTCGTTTCTTTGGTTTCTCCTTTCCACGAAGCTTCTTTAGTCCTTTTTGCTCATCTTTAAAATCTTGATGCTTATCTCTGTAGAGTCCAAGAAATTGGAGTGTCCCCGTGAGTGCAGTATTAAGTATTGTGATCTGGATATCAGTCATAAATTTCCTTTTTCTTGGCCACGGGAGGTTCACTAAATAGTTTCACCACTTTCATAGCCTTGGAATCAGTAGGCCTGGCGACTTGACAAAATAGCCGAGCACTGAGAGGAGACATGCGCAAAGCATATTCTGAAAGGGAGGACATTTCTTGAGTGGCAAGGAGCTAGAGTTCCTGGACTTG
Organism: Homo sapiens; assembly: GCF_000001405.40. Classification (NCBI taxonomy): domain Eukaryota; kingdom Metazoa; phylum Chordata; class Mammalia; order Primates; family Hominidae; genus Homo; species Homo sapiens. Next base: position 115,142,945 of record NC_000004.12, on the reverse strand, counting down.
ACCTTCCTCACCTACCGCGCCCTCTTCCAGACTCCTAGCTCACGCTGGCGACTATTACCCCTACCTGCTTCTTATAACAAACACACATAAAGAAACATATTTTAACTGATAAAATATGTAATCAGATATTTAATAATTGCTATTCCTTCAAGTCATCCTCTTTAACACAAGTCACTTTTTTGTCATTACCTTATTCTTTTGTACTTTGTTATTAAAATGACTAATATGAACTTTTCACTGATTGATTCTCTTCTCTGTTAATCCATATAACAGATTTTCTTTGTAATTTGAATTTTAACATTGATTTTTTAAAATATTTATGAGCATATAAATTATTTACTAGAAATCTCTTGCTTTCAGGTATTGTATTCTTCAGACAGAAACATTTAGGGAAATTCTTCTTGTTGAAACCTTCAGTTTAGGCCTGACAGTTTTCTTTTGAAATGGTAGCAGCATTGAGTCTCCAGCACTCATTATTGTCTTTTATATGCACATAACATAATTAAATGCAGATGTTACTTCAAAATTGATTGATAACTGAGAAATTTATTGGGGTTTTTTTTCTGCTTTTATGAAATACAAGTTCATTAAGATTTTAGTAGAGAAGATTTAGCAGACAGAAGTAAACCATAAGGTCTGGTAACTTTTTTTTTTTTTTTTGGAGATATTCACATTGAATATCTCTTTATCAAGTTCCAAAAGTTATGCTGCTCCCTTTAAGATCTAGCTCAAATATAGACAAAATCACCTATCCTTAGTTCTTATGAATCTCATAATGAGCTTTTGATAAAACACCGAAAGCCAAAATTGACAAATGGGATCTAATTAAACTAAAGAGCTTCTGCACAGCAAAAATTTTTAAATGAATTAAAAAGCATTAAAAAGTTTACAAAGCCATTTTTTAAATCATAGGTGTCTCATTTCATTCCCTTTACCCAAAATATTAGCTGTTTCTTCACATCAATAAATGGGTATCATTTAAGTGATAATGTACCAGGCTTCCTTCAGTCAAAATGCTGAATACTCATATTTTATTTAGAGAGGATCTTCTCTTAACCAACTTGAACGTTTTAAAATCAAATTTAGAGAATTTAGTTTCAACCTTAAATGCTACTTTGGCACCATTTGGAACTCTTTCAAAATTTTGGTGTATGATCTAAAGAACTTTATCTTTAAATAAATTAGTTGAAATGTTAGCTGTGTAATGCTAGATATCCTCTTCTGGTGAAATAAGCCAAAGTACTGAAAAACAAATACCACATTATCTCACTTATAGGTGAAGTGTAAAAATGTTGATCTCATAGAAGTAGAGAGTAGAATGGTGGTTAGCAGGGACTGAGGGATGGGATCTGGGTAGATGTTGGTGGAAGAATACACAATTTCAATTAAGAGTAAAGGAATAAGTTCAAGAGATCTATTACTCAGCATAGTGATTATAGTTAATAACAATGTAATGTATTGTATGCTTGAAAGTTCATAATAGAGCAGATTTGAAGCATTTTTCACCCCAGAAATGTTTGTGAGACAATACATATGTTAATTATCTCAATTTAGCCATTTCACAGTGTGTACACATTTCAAAACAGCATGTTGTATACAATAAATTTATATAATTTTTGTCAGTTTAAAGTGTATTTTAAAAAATAAAAAACTACAAATAACAGTAATTTCCTATGTACATGGCAGGATGACTTTCTTATGCATAATAGAAATGTGAATAAATTACAGTAATAATTGTCCAGGTATTTTAATAGTGAAAGAGGCCAGAAAAATTCTCAAGGTGCAAAAAGAAATTTTAATTTACTAAAATGCACAAAGCAAAGCACAAAGCAATTTGGAAATGACGGATAATTTCATTATTAATGCTAGTTAGCTTTGAAAACAGAGATGTTATTGAATTGTTTGTTATTATGTTGAAACCTATAACCATATTTTGAATTTTTAACCATAACATACAATATGTTTGAACAATCTTTCAACAATAAAAATATATTCATCTATCAATCACCTGAAAATGTTCTTTACATAACATGCTTGCAGTATTCTTGAAAAATTCTCAAGTATATGGAGGGCTTACACCAAACTATTTTCATTAATTCTAGATATATAAAAAATATTAAAACTTATTTTCCCTTCAGTCAGTAACAAGCTTCCTTTCAGAAATGCGGAGGTGGAAGGAGCATTATAAGTGTGCCTTATCAGATGCCTTTTCTGGAATCCTGTCCATGAACTTCGTATTGCAACAATGATCTGCATAATCACAAGCTGCCAGAGGGACTTCATTATTCTATAACTATATATTTATTTTAATAGTTTCTCTGTCCCCCTTTATAAACTGTAAAATGAGGCTTAAATATTGAGTAGGGCTGGGCACAGTGATTCAAGCTTATAATTCCAGCACTTTGGGAGGCCAAGGCTGGAGGATTACTTGAGCCCAGGAGTTCGAGGCCAGCTTGTGCAATGTAGTGAAACCCTGTGTTTACACAAAATTTAAAAAAAATAGTCATGCATTGTGGCTTGCACCTGGAGTTCCAGCTACTGCAGAATCTAAGAAGGTATGATCACTTGAGCCCAGCAGGTTGAGGCTGCATGAGCCGTGATTGCACCACCACACTTCAGTATGGGCAGCAGCAAGACCATGTTTCAAGACAACAACAACAAAACTAAATAAGAGTATGGCTTTATTCACCAACAGGTGATAGAACTAAGCTATTCAGTCTCTAAAACCAAGGCCTGTTAGTAAAAAGATAAAGAAATAGAAAAGATAGCGTAATACATGCCACTGAAAAAGTTTCACATTCAATCACATTTCTGGTGTATTGGTGGTGTACTTGAAATTTCTATTGGTGAAGGAATTAAAAAAATCTAAACTATCCGCAATACTATAAGAATGGCCTAGGGAGATCAGTAGCTGAGATGTTGGCAAGAGTTATCTCATTTCTTCACACAAAGAGACGAGGTGGCAGATGAACAGAGGGATAGGTCTATATCAGAGGACTTCTTAAAAGTCACTCTAACTCTACCCATCCTGTGCTGATTCAAAGTCCTTTTTTTATTCATTTGTTCTCATGCTACTAATAAAGACATACCAGAGACTGGGTAATTTATAAAGAAAAGAGGTTTAATCCACTCACAATTCAGCATGGCTGGGGAGGCCTCAGGAAACTTGCAATCATGGCAGAAGGGGAAGCAAACATGTCCTTCTTCACATGACAGCAGGAAGGAGAAGAATGCAAGATGAACCAAGGCAGAAGCCCCTTAAAAAACCATCAGATCTCATGAGAACTTACTATCACCAGAATAGCATGGAGGAAAGCACTCCCATGATTCAGTTACCTCCCACTGGATCCCTGTCACCACACATGGGGATTATGGGAACTACAATTCAAGGTGAGATTTGGGTGGGGACACAGCCAAACCATATCACCTTTCAACATAAATGTTAATATCCTTCCACTCCTGGCCTGATGGTTTTTGTACTCCTTTCCTCAAAGGACTTTTCCTTTGCCCATATTTGAGCCTCTCACTTCCATGTTTGCACCCTAAACCTTATCCTCACAAATTCTTGCAATTCCTCCTGTATTAGTTTCCTATTGCTGCTGCAACAAATTACCACAAATGGAGAGGCTTAAACAATTCATAGATATGGCCTTACAGTTCTGACAGATAAAAGTGGAATTCACTGAGCATAAATCCAGGTGTCAGTAGGGTTGCATTTCTTTTGGGAGCTCTAAGGAAGAATCTGTTGCACTTTCAAACTGCTAGATGTCACCTGCTTCCCTTAACTTATGGCATTCCTCATGAATCTTAAAAGCCAGTAAGAACAGATGAAGTCTTTCTCCCTTCAAGTCATTGTGACCCCCTTTTCTGTCTCCCTCTTACAGGGACCTATGTGATTACATCAGGGTCACCCAGATAACCCAGAATAATCTTCCTATTATAAATTCAGCTGATTACCATTTAATCCCACTGTAACTTTGATTCCCCTTGCTTTGTAAGGTAACATATGCACAGGTTCTAGAAATTAGGATGTGGACCACCTTGGGGACCATTGCTCTACCTACCACACCTCAGCATTTCAGTTTTAAACATCTAATTCTTTGACCAACACCTCCTTTTTCCAAAATAGCAGGAATTTCCAATCTACATGGCAGGAAGACTTTCTTATGCCTAATAGTAATGGAATAAATTACAGTAATAGTTGTCCAGGTATTTTACTAGTGAAAGTGGCCAGAAAAATACGGTGAGAACAGAAATTTTTATTTACTAAAAGGCACAAAGCAAAGCAGAAAGCAATAAATCTCATTCATCTAGCATCTCAACTCCAATATTTTGATCTACTAAGACCCACGAATTGATGTTGGAAACTTTTCACTATCTCTCTTTTCCCCCAGGTCTTCATGCCCCACCTTTAATTGGAAGTACAATAATTATAATCACCCCTGATAAATACAAATTCCATATTTGTCCTCTCTTTAATTATAAACTTTTGACAAAATGCCAACTTTGATTATATCTCACTCCTTAATTTTCATTTGCTTTAATGCAGCTGAAAGTAGCAGGTAAAAATTCTCGGACTAATTATACTTTACATTCATGGCCAGTACCTACATTTTTTTGGCTTATTTACCACACCTTTCTCCTAGATGTTTATTTTTTAAATTTTTTTCATCTCTTCAAATGTTAAATATTTCATTCTCATCTTCCCTTTCAACCTTGTTTCTTGCTTCACCCAGGAAATGGAAGACATTAAAAAGACCATACACAAGCCCACATCATCTTATTTACTATCTACTGCCTCCATATATACTGCCTTCCTTTCTATTACTCTAGAAGAACTGTCTATACTATCAAAAACTAAGTTATCATTTCATTAACAGATTCCTCCCTTCTCTCTTACTCAAGGACGTTATTTCATTAGTTCACCATTTCTCTTTTCTATCATGGTTTCTCATTTTCATTGGATCTTTCGTATCAGTCTACAAATATGTTGTGATTAGTCTAATCTTAAAATAATAAAATATTCTATTATTTAATATCTATTTTTGTTTTCTTCACCAGAAAAACTTGTCAAAACTATTATCTGTCCTCACTGTTTCAAATATCTCTTCTACTCTTTGAAATTCACTCAAAATGAAATGTTGTCACTATATTCCCCCAGAAAATTTTAATTTTTTATTTTATTAATCTTTTTTATTTTCATTTGTCTAGGTTTAGGGAGTACAAGTGCAGTTTTGTTACATATATTGCATAGTGATGAAGTATAGTTTTAGTATCTCCATCACCTAAATAGTGAACAATGTACCCAATAGGTAATTTCTCATCACTCACCCATTCTTACCCTCCCACATTTGGAGCCTTTCATGTCTATTATACCACTCTGTATGTCTATGTTTACACATTATTTAGTTCCCGCTTATAAGTGAGAACATGCAGCAATCAACTTTCTGCTTCTGAGTTATTTAGTTTAAGATAATAGGCTCTACTTCAATCCAGGTTGTTGCAAAAAATATGAGACATCATTATTTTCATGGCTGAGTAATATTCCATAGTATAAATATACCACATTTTCTTTATTAAATCCTCGATTTATGGACATTTAGGTTAATTCCATGACTTTGGTTTTGTGAATAGTGCTGCAATAAGCATTTGAGGGCAGATGTCTTTTTTTGATGTGACAATTTCTTTTGCTTTGCGTAGATATCCAATAGTGGGATTGCTAAGTCAAATGGTAGTTCTATTTTTAGTTCTTTGAGAAATATCCATACTGTTCTTCATAGAGGTTGTATTAATTTACATTCACACCAACAATGTATAAGTATTCCTTTTTCTCTACGTTCTCACCAACATCTGTTGGGGTTTTTTGACTTTTTAATAATAACCATTCTGAATGGTGTAAGATGGCATTTCACTGTGGTTTTAATTTGCATTTCTGTGATAATTAGTGATACTGGGCATTTTAAAATGTTATCTGCTTATGTCTTCATCCTTTTCCCACTTTTTTTTCTTTTTCTTTTTTTTTTTTTTTTTTACAGACAGGGTCTTTTTCTGTTACTCAGGCTGGAGCGCAGTGCTGCCATCTCAGCTCACTGCAACCTCTGCCTCCTGGGTTCTAGCCATCCTCCTGCCTCAGCATCCTGAGTAGCTGGGAGCACAGGCATGTGCCACCATGCTCAGCTATTTTTTTTTTTAATTTTTAGAAGAGACAGGGTTTCACCATGTTGGCATTTTGCCCACTTTTTAATGAGGTTATTCAATTTTCTTTCTTATTGAGTTGTTTGAGTGCACATAGATTTTGGATATTAGTTTATACTTAGATGCACAGTTTGCAAATATTTTCTCCCATTCTGTAAGTTATCAGTTTGCACTATTTATTTATTTATTTATTTATTTGCTGTGCAAAGCTTTTTAGTTTAAGTCCTATTGATGATTTTTGGGTTTTTTTCTAAATTCCTTTTGAGTTCTTAGCCATCAGTTCTTTCCCTGGGTCAATGTCTAGAAAAGTTTTACCTTGGTTTACCTCTAGGAATTTACAGGTTTGGGTCTTATATGTAAATCTTGACTCCATCTTGAGTTAATTTCAGTATATAGTGAAAGACAAGGGTCCAGTTTCATTCTTCTGCATATGACTATCCAATTTTCTCAGCACGATTAATTGAATAAGGGATCTTTTCCCTTATGTTTTTGTTGACTTTGCAAAGATCACTTGGTTGTAGGAAACTGGCTTTACTTCTGGATTCTCTATTCTGGAACAAAATAGATTTCTGTTCCAGAATATCTTTATCCTGGAAGAGAATAGATTACTGTTCCATAATAGATTTATGTGTCTTTTTATACCAGTACCATGATGTTTTGGTTACAATAGCTTTGTGATGTACTTTGAAGTCAGGCAATGTGATGTCTCCAGCTTTCATCTTTTTGCTGAGGATTCCTTTGGCTATTTGGGCTCTTTTTGGTTCCATATGAATTTTAGAATTGTTTTCTCTAATTCTATGAAAAAAACACATTTGGTAATTTGATAGAAATTGTATTGAACCTGTAGATTGCTTTGGGCAGTATGGCCATTGTAATTATATTGATCTTTGAATTCCATGAGCATGGGATAGTTTTACATTTGTTTGTGTCTCCTACAATTTCTTTCATCTGTGTTTTGTAGTAACCCTTGTAGAGATATTTCACTTCCTCAGTGAAACTTATTCCTGGATATTTTTTGTAGCTATTTTAATTTAGATTGGTTCTCAGCTTGATCATTATTAATGTATAGAAATGTTAGTGACATTTGCATGTTGCTTTGCATCCTGAAACTTTTACTAAAGTCATGTATCAAGATGTCTAGGAGTATCTTAAAAGAATTTGTAAGGTTTTTTTTAAGGTATCAATCAGATCATGAAATATCGTATTTAGATTATAATTTTAATTTCTTTTTTTCAAATTTGGGTGCCTTTTATTTCTTTTTCTCACCTGATTGCTCCAGCTACATCATCCAGTACTTTGTTGAATAGGAGCCATAAAAGTGGGCATACTTGTCTTCCTCCAGTTTTTAGGGGCAATGCTTTCAACTTTTCCCCATCCAGTATAATTTTGGCTATGGGTTTGTTGCATATGGCTTTTATTATTTTGAGGTATGTTCTTCCAATTCTTAGTTTGTTGAAAGTTTTTATCATATCGAGATGCTGAATTTTACCAGGTTTTTTTTTGCATCTATTGAGATGATCATATGGTTTTTGCATTTAATTCCATTTAGGTGGTGAATCATATTTATTGATTTGTGTATGTTGAAAAAGCCCTGCATCACTGGAGTAAAACCCACTTGATTGTGATGTATCATCTTTTGATGTGCTGTTGAGTTTGGTTTGCTAGTAATTTTTTGAGGATTTTGCATCTATGTTCGGTAGGGATATCATCCTGTAGTTTTCTTTCTGTGTAGTGTCTTGCCTGACTTTGGAATCAGGGTGATATTGACATTGTAGAATGAGTTAGGGAGAATTCTGTCTTCCTTGATTTTTTAGAACAGTTTCAGTAGGATTGGTACTAGTTCTTTGTATGTCTGGTAAAATTTAGCTGTGAATTCATCTAGTCCTGTGCTTTTTTTGTTATTGAATTCTAAAATTTCTGATTCAATCTTACCACTTATTAGTAATCAGTTCAGAATTTCTATTTCTTCCTGGTTCAATATTGAGAGGTTGTATATTTTCAGGAGTTTATTCATTTCCTTAGGTTTTCTAGTTTTTGAATGTAGTTGTTCATAGTAGTCTGTGATGATCTTTAATATTTTTGTGATATCAGTTGTAATGTCTCATTTTTCATTTTTGATTGTGCTTGAATCTTCACTCTTTTAATCTTGGTTAAACTAGCTTACAGTCTATCAGTTCTGTTAATCTTTTCGAAGAACAAAATTTTGGGGTTTCTAATGCTTTGTGGGGTTGTGTGTGTGTTTATTTATTTAGTTTTTGGTCTCAATGCTATTTTTCCCTGTTCCGATTGTTACTTCTTTTCTTCTGCCAGCTGTAGGCTTTTCTTGTTCTTGTTTTTCTAGTTACTTGATGTGCAATGTTAGGTTGGTATCCTTTGTAATCTTTGTATCTTTTTGATGTAGGTGTTTAGTGTTTTAAATTTCCCTCTTAAACTGCTTTTGCTGTATCCAGCTATTTTAGTATGTTATGTCGCTATTGTCACTTATTTCAAATATTTTTAAGATTTCTATCTTAACTTTGCTGTTCTCCCAAAAATCAAGCAGGAGGAGGCTTTTTTTCTTTTTTTAAATTTCCATGTATTTGTGTATTCTGAGGGTTCATCATGGTGTTGATTTCTAGTTCGTTTGTTTGTTTGTTTTTCTGCTGTGGTCCAAGAAGGCACGTGAAATTATTTCTTTAAAAAAAATTTACTGGGACTTGTTTTGTATCCTAACATATGATATATTTTAGAAAATGATTCATGAGCTGATGAGAAGAATGTATATTCTATGATTGTTGGGCAGAATATTTTGTAAATATCTGTTAGTTTCATTTGGTGTAGAGTTCTATTTAAGTCCAATGTTTCTTTATTAATTTTCTGTTTCTATGACCCCCTAGTGTTTTAAATGAAATGTTGAAGTCTCTCATCCTATTGCATTGAAATCTATCTCTTTTCTAAGGTCTAGTAATACTTGTTTTATGAATCTGGGTGCCCTGGTGTTGAGTGAAAATGTATTTGGAATTGTTATATATTCTTGTTGAATTGATACCTTTATTATTATACAGTGACTGTCTTTGTCTTTTTTACTGTCATTTATTTAAAGTTTGTTTTAACATATAAAACTATAGCTACTGTTTCTCACTTTTGATTTTTACTTATGTGAAGTATCTTTTTCAAACCCTTTACCTTGAGTCCATAACTGTCTTTACTAGCACGTAATTAGATTCTGTTTTTTACATCTATTTTGCCAATGTATATCTTTTAAGTGG